>NW_013171806.1:0-185507 GCF_000001405.40 Homo sapiens | reverse complement strand
GAATTCTTAGTTGTATTCTACTGCTCATTTTCTTGTGTTAATCACTGCCTTGCATTAAGATCATCTTTCCACAGTGTTTTAAAGAAATTATAGTCACCTGGTTCCATTTTCACAGGTTCCAATTTAAGAGATTCAGGCTAGAGTATGGATGCTTATATTATTCAAGGCACTCTACAAGTGATTGCACGCCAATTAAAACTTCTGTTAGGTTGGTGCAAAAGTGACTGCGATTTTGACCATTACTTTCAGTGGCAAAAATTGCAACTACTTTTGCACCAACCTAATCATATCTGTTTGAAAATTGCTAAAATCAAGGAACCTGCATAAAGAGATTGACTGATTTTCTGTTATATTCTGGAACAGTTCCTTTAAGGTGAGTGTTTAATTCAGCAATTATATATTTGCAAGTTTTGATTCATCTTACATAAAAGGCCCATAGGGCAATTATCACCAGGCTTCTATAAGTAGCGGCAGCCACATTACAAGTTTAGGGAAGGCGTTCTTGTCCATCATTAAAGAGTGAAGCAAAACTTCACTCTTTAGAAACAAGTTTTAAAAATATTCCTTTCTAATAGTATTTCTTTTATATATAATATTGGGGAGTGATTTCTAAGATTTTAAACATGAAAATAAATAATTATACACTGTGGAAATTCCTTTCTCTTTGGATATCTTGAAGATAGAATAGTTAGAAATATTAAGAAACAATAAAAAGTAATATTAAAGCTCTCTTCTACAACACAGTTCCAGTTTGAAATAACTGGATTTTAAAATGAAATAAAGAGAGAATATAGTCTGAGTGAGATTGAAGGCTATGCTAAACTGTTCATTGTCAGTTGTTTTATAAACTTAATTTTCTTAGCATGAATTATGTTTTACTTTATTAAAATTAATAAAGTATGTAAAATTTTACATATCTATAAAATATAAAAATTAATTCATGCTAAAGTAGATAAAAGTAAAGAAGAAAAACTGAGCTTATCAAAGCACCACAACTGTCCAAAATAATAGAAAGCCAATTAACATCTCTGACGAGTTAATTAAAATACATATTCAAAATGGGTTATTTCACTTAAATTGATTATTTGTTGTTTTCTTTACCAAACTGCTGTATATAAAGTAAATTGTATTGTCATCTTTAAAATGTTAGAATATTCTGAATATTAATTAATAAACATTAAGTTCATGACACCAAAGTCAATTTTTAAAAAATTGGAAAGTATTTGTTTCTAGATGTTTCTTCAATATAAGTCTAAATTGGTCGTGAGTCATTTAAAGAACTCACTTATTTTGGAAAATAAACTAGTCTGCTTTTTAGAAGTTACAAAGTACCAGTTAGCAAATCTATTTATAAATCCAGTTCATAAATGTTCTCCAAAAATTTCAGATAAACAAAGCTCCCTCTGCTTGGTTTTCAGAATACTTAAATTATTTATGATAATGTTAAATATCTGGTAAATATTTTCCAGTATGTTACTCTCTTTATTTAATCTTCTCTTTCTAGCTTATTTTAATTTTGCTTTCTATAAATAATTAATAGGTATGTTAAAAGACTATAACTATAGTCAATTCATCAAGTTACCTCAACTGTTTCCATTTGGGTAGTTATTTGTCACATTTAATCTACCTTTACTAAAAATAGCATTGAGAAAATTTAAATACACACACACAAACACCACACAGTTTAAAGGACCATTTATTACCTCAAAACTACAAGGTAAATAGACAACTAGGCAAATAGAATCAATGACATAGAACAGACCATTTAGTCTCAGCATGTGTAAAAGCTTCATAGGAATAATATGTAGAGATAAAACTCTGGGAGTAAGAGGTGAATTGTCCAATATATTGGGTTGAGAAAATTGAAAAGATATTTAACGATTAATTAATTCAGATACACATTTTACTTTAGGCATTTTACAAACCAGAAGAATGGAAAAATTTGCAATAAAAAAGAAGATTTATATAAGCATTAATGAGGAAAGTTTTTGTAAGCATTGGTAAAGTAATAAGAGACAAAGGCAATAGATATGACTTCATAAATTTTTAATATTCGTACACATAAAATATACACTTTAAATTATAATTAAAGGAAAACAAGTTGGAAACTAATTTTGAGTTAAATATAATTGTTAAAACATTTAAGTACTCTTAAAAATTGATAAGAAGATCACCACATCTTCAGGAGAAAACTAGTCACAGGCTCTAAAAGACATTGTCAGGAAAATACATACAATTGGTCTTAAGCTGCATAATATATTGTCATTGGTGATTATTTTGTACCTATAGTCTGTGAATTTACTCTCTATCCACTTTTAAGCCCTCCCTAAATAATCCCATTTATACTCGTGCCTTCAGTTATACACCCAGGGCCCTCATATTTGTATCTTCAGCTGAGAATTATTTTTCGTGCTTCAAATGATTCATGGATGTAAACAAAACGAAGTTTTTCCCCACAGTTTCTTAAAAGTAGTTCACATTTAACAAATCCAAAATATATTACATGACCCAGTCACTCACAAAACTTATTCTTCTACGGGTCTCCATTCATCTCATGATACAAGCTAGAAAATAGAGTCATTATTGACCACTCTTCCATCATCATGAATGCCCAAGACATCTCCTGGTCCTGTCAAATGTACCTGCAAATATTTCCAACTTTTTTCTCATCTACCTTTTCACCTTGTCTCCATGCATTCACATGGGCTTCATTCCAATTTATTTTCTGCATTAAAAAACATAACTTTGTTTAAAAGCCAAATTACATGTTGTCATTCTCTATTTAAATCTCTTTAGTGCTTCTCATTAAGATCCAAGGAAAGGATTTAAATACTATCTAGTTTTTATGCTTATGTTTTATATTCACCTATCCCTCCAATCTCATATCACCAAAGAACAATGCTCTCTCCTACCCCAGATCCTTTATAGACATTATTCTTCCCAGAACATTTTCTATCTGCTTTTTTGTGTCTAATGGCTATTACTCCTCTTTTAGCTCTAAGTTCACTGAGAGTGTGTCCATGGCAGTTTTACATGAACCAGAGATTTAACTTCCCTATTATGATCTCTCATATCACCTTGTACACTCCTCCATAGCACTGACCACAGTTTTACAACTGTAACTGTAGCTGTTACATTTATTTTTGTGATTGTTTCATTTATGCCTATCTTTTTCCATTCACTGTAAATTTCAGAAACTTAGCTACTCATGCTCTCTCTAGTACCCAAAACAGTGTCCAAAAGATAGGAAACCAAAAAACCTTTGATCTACAAGTAAATGAAATAAAGTCTGTATACAACAATGGGATGAAAAAGAATAATTGGATTCTATTCTGTAAAAAAGAAATGGAAGTATTGCCTTTAAATATTTCCACTGGGAGTAAAACTTAGTACAATCTTTTTTGGAAACCATACCAACTAAAAGATAATCCTTAAGAATTGTCACAAGATTTATTCTAGTAGTTTCACTTCAGATATTGTAATTTTTACACTAGAAAAAGATGGTGCAGGTTCTTATTTAGTTGAATGAGAAAAGAATAAAATCCAAAGGAAATATTCAGAAAAACTATCAGTGTTGTGAATGAATATACACACATACACAAACAAGAAATCCATTTAAATGTTATGTACTATGACAAAAGTAATACAAACATTCTGCAGGTTTTAAAAATATGTTAGGCCAGTCGCGGTGGCTCACGCCTGTAATCCCAGCACTTTGGGAGGCCGAGGTGGGCAGATCATGAGGTCAGGAGATCAAGACCATTCTGGCTAACACGGCGAAACCCCTTCTCTACTAAAAATATAAAAAATTAGCCAGGCATGGTGGTGGGCGCCTGTAGTGCCAGCTACTTGGGAGGCTGAGGCAGGAGAATGGTGTGAACCTGGGAG
The DNA here is from genome assembly GCF_000001405.40 of Homo sapiens. Lineage (NCBI taxonomy): Eukaryota > Metazoa > Chordata > Mammalia > Primates > Hominidae > Homo > Homo sapiens. Next base: position 181,619 of record NW_013171806.1, on the reverse strand, counting down.
TCAGAGCTTGCAGCGAGCCGAGATTGCGGTACTGCACTCTAGCCTGGGTGACAGAGCGAGACTCCATCTCAAAAAAAAAAAAAAAAAATATATATATATATATATTTTGATGATAAATGTAATAAATGAGACATTGTTATAAAAGATTTAAAGTTTTAGAGATGGTTAAAATTATGCATATATACACAGTAATAAAACTAAGATTAAAATAAAAAATACCAAAAAGTGAACAGCAGTACCTGCCTCTGATTTTTATAGTGATTTTTTCCATGTATTTTTCAACCAACATGACTCATTGCTATAACAAAAAATTGTTTAAAAATTCCCAAGATTTGCTATTTCATATTTCGTATTACTTTAAGGAAACTGGTCTAATAAGTTAGTGACAAGATTAATTCAACCTGAATAGGCTATTTTCTGCTTTCAGAATGTATGTTTTCCACTTGCCATGAATTCTTAGATTCAATAAGGACCTCTCTGCAGGTTTCCTAACAAATCTTTAGATTCATGTCAGGTGTACATTCTGATTTATATATATTAAGATTACTTAAAATCAGTGAAGCAAACACAGTCATGATTGCTAAATGCCAAGTCACAGAAATTCAGTATTAGTCCCACTAACTCTGTTCATTTCATATCTTAAAAAATGTTGATAGAGTTGGGGAGAAGAAAAATAAAAAGTCAATTGGGCATAGAATAATTAAATTGTGGGTGAAGCTAGAGATTGTTTCTGTCCCGTGAAGCCTTGACAATATTTGGGCAGTGTCTCTGCATTTCATATTTTTTAACTTACTTTTTCCAATAAAAATGATACATATTTATTTTCCAGTTAGGGAAACTTTTACTGGCTGGGACTCTTTTAAAATATGAAGTCTAGTCGCATTTTAAAAAGTAGCTTTTCTCATTAGGTTAAACAATCAGGCCAGATAATTTAATCAACACAAACATTATTAGGGATACCCATAGACAAGTCTCATTAATGACAAGAACCATCACAGGAATTTTAGACAATGCCCTGTATTTCTGATGAGCTAGGAGAAAGACAGAATACATTCCAAATAACATATTCCTTGGTGAACATACGGATTTTTTAAAACTATCACCAGGAGATCATAGTACAAAATATAATTTAGACTGCTAATCCACAAGAGACAAATTACTTACTATTACAAATTACTTCTTAGCTTCCCATTAGCTTATATAAGTTCTAATCATAGGAATGAGTAAAATCATGAGATTCTATGGTCCTTTTGCCATGTATGCTTGCTGTGTTGTAATAGTTTTGTTAGAGAAGATAGAAAGCTTACCACTCAGTGCCATAAGTGAGAAGGAACAACAACAACAAAAAGGACTGTGGCCAGACATGGTGGCTCATGCCTGTAATTCTAGTGCTTTTGGAGGCCAAGGCAGAAGATTATTTGTGGCCAAGAATTCAAGGTTACAGTGATCTATGATTGCACCACTGCACTCCAGCCTGGGTGACAGAGTGAGACCCTGTCTCAAAAAAAAAAAAAACAAAAACACACACACATATATATATATAAAGAAAAATAATGAATGTGGAATGCTGTCATTGTCAATAAAATAGCATATAAAGTAGAGGAGAAAAGTTACCTACAGAGATGATGGTGTGACTTAGTTTTGCACATGGAGATCAATTTCAGATTTTGTTTTCCTTTCAGAAAGAAAGATTAAAAAGCATTTTAAGAGATAAAAGAGGCTTTTTCACAAGAATAAAAAGTTTAATTTATAAAGTACCAAGAAAATACATCAAATCAAAATATATATGCATCCAATATATGGCTTCAAATCATATGAAACAAAGATAAAGAGAAACCAGAAAGAAGTAGCCATATTAACAATCATTGAAGGAGAATTGAAACTTACGTAACTGTGCATTCCAGTTACAGAAGAAAAAGTTGAAAAAAATAAGAAAGGGCAAGGAAGATTTGAGTAAAACCAAAATTTGCAGAATATGTTTTCTTCAAGCACATATGGGCCACTGATAAAAAGTGACTAATTGCAGGTCTATAAACCAAACCTCAACATATGGTTAAGCACTGAAATCATACAGAATATACTCTCTAACTGCAGTACAACTGCATTAAAAATGAATAAAAAATAAAACTAAGAAATCTCCAAATAATTAAAATCTAAAAAATACAATTCTAAATAATACACATTTCAAAGAAGCTGCAAAAAAATAAATATTTGAAGTAAATGACAATGAAAACAATCCATACATTGTTTGTAAGATACAGAAAAACAATTTCTTGAAGAACTTTGTTAAGTGAGTATATTACAAAAGAAGAAACATTGAAGATTAATGAGTCAAATATCCACCCCAAGAAGTTAGGCAAAGTTCAATAAAAAGAAAATAAAAATAAAAGGATCCAAAGTAAGTAAAAATGTACAAATAATAAAGAATAAAGCATAAATAAATAAAAAGCAAAATAAAAATACAAAAGAGAGGATCAACAAAGTAAACTATTAATTTTTTGAAAAGACCAGTAAAATTGATAAAACTCTGGCAAGACTAATGAGACAGAGAAAAAGAAAAAGAGAAAGAGAAATCTTATCACTGATATCAGGAATGAATAAGAAAATTTTATTGATTCACTTTAGGCCCAGCAGAAAATAAGACAATAAGATATTGTGAACGAATTTATTTCAGCTAAAATGAAAAACTAAATAAAATTGACAAAGCTTTTAACAACACATATAAAACAAGCAATATAGAAAACTTATGTAATTATATATTTAATACAGAAAAGAAATTAGTAATTTTATATTTTACCATTGTGAAAATTTTGTGACTTAATGTTTTCATTGGGAAAACTTACCAAATATTTGAAGAAACCATATTTCAAATCTTAAATAAATTATTCCAGAGACTGGAATGAGGAAACACCCCTTAAATCAATTTAAATGGTAATTATAACTTTGATATTAAAACTGAGAACATCAGTACAGGCAAAGAAAATTACAGATAAACTAAAAGATACCAGATACAAAATTCTAAATAAAATATGAGTAAACATAATGAACCAATATAGAAAGAGAATTCAACATTACCAAGGTCAATCCTAAAAAAGCCAATCAACATGTTGCATCCCATTAACAAGCTAAAGAAGAAAAATCATTTGAGTATCTCAGTAGTTTTAGAAAAAATTATCTTATAAAATTTGTGTTACTATACAAATAGAGTGGAGCTTACTTAATTAAACAAAGATTTTTTTCAACAATAAACAGAGAAGCAAAAACATAACAAAACAAAAAATTTTAGAATCATCATACTGAAAGTGAAACATTAAAATATTTTCTCTGTACAAATAGGGACAAAAGAAAGACTCAAAATTACTACTTCTATTCAATATTGGAAAATGCTGTAAAGAACTAAAATAAATTAAAGTATAAATATTGCAAATAGAAAATCTCTAAATGTTTATAGACAATAGGATTTTGTGTGTGTGTTTAAAAATTCAATAGACTCTAAACATTAATTTTTTAGAATTAATTGGAAAGTTGAGCAAACCTCCTGGTTTCTAGTACAACATTCAGAAACACACTACAAAGAAAAAGATATAATTTACAGTATATGAAAAATATCAAGTACATAGTAATAAATTTGACAAAGGTGTACTTGAGTAGAAAAAATAAAAGTATAAAAATTTAATGAAAATCTTTAAGAAGGTCTAAAAAAATAGATTTATGGCATAGATTGCACTACAGAACAGTGAGTAACCTATAGTCTTTTCGAGTAATTTATGCAGAGGCATTTAAGTACTGATATGAAAATTATTGTACCTCCCATTTATACTACAAAAATTCATTCCAAATAATTTATAGATTACATGTGAATAGCCAAACAAAGCTTTTATAATACAGCATAGGAGGCAATCTTTATGAATCCATAAGGGACCAGTTGAAAAGCATTATTCATTAATTATGTTTATTATTACAAAGTATGAGGAAGATTCCTTAAATTATTCAAAAGCATGAACATTGACTTGAAATGATACTCATGATACATAAAATGAGAAGAAGAAGTAAGAACAATAAATCCATAGTAATCAATGCCATTTGGCATTGACACTAAGAGAAGAGTATAGATTATGAACAGAATTAAAAGTCCAGAAATCAACTTTATATTTATGGTCAACTGACTTTTGACGAAAGTGCAAAGACAATTCAATAGGAAAAGAATAGTCATTTCACAAATGCTGCTGGAAAAATTATATATCCCCATTGAAATATTTTTTATTAGAAAAAAGGGGGGAACCTTGCACCTCTACCTAACATTATATAGAAAATTTATTAAAAGTGGATCAAAGACCTAAATATAAGAGCTATAACCATAAAAACAAACAAACAAAAGCATCTGGAAAAAAGAGAGAAATAAATTTTTTGGCCTTGGATAAGGCAAATAATTCTTATATGTAATACCAAAATAATAATTCTTATAGGACAAAAATTGATAAACTGCACTATACCAAAATTTGAAACTTCTGCATCTCGAATGACATCATTATGAAAATGAAAATATGAGTGAAAAACTAGGAGAAAATATTTTCCAATCGTATATCTGGTAAATAAGTTGTATCCAGAATACACAAAAATTTTCACCATTCAATAGAGAAGAAAAAATTTAAAAATGGGCAAAATAGTTGATTATGTATTTCACCAAAGAGATACACAAATGACCCATGTTATTATTATTATGACTGCTTACTAAGCATCTACAATTCTCCATACCTCGTTAAAGATTCTCGACATTCCAAAACTAAAGATATTGCCTCTGTCCACCATTTTAAATGGCAAGAAAGTTTGAAATTTTTCTGATAAATACATACATATGGTGATAATGGAGCTAGAGCAAGGGTTATTGAATTTAGCCTGAGAGGGGAGAGGGCTTTATCCAGGAGACATCTTGTTTCCAAGGAGACAAGACAATTGACTTCAACCTTAGAAGAGTCAGTTGTCTCAAAACATGTAAATTGAGAGTAGTCAGTTTAGTTTCACTTGCCTACTTTCATTAAATTATTTTTCTTTTTGGCTCTTAATGTTCTTATTCCTTCTGTGTTACCTTCCTCAAAAAACTAAGCCATTGGTCTTTATCTTCTGTGTAAAGTTTTCAGTTATCATGTCTCAGGTCCCAGGGTGGCTTGCTGCATGAGGAAATGGTCTTCATGTATTAATACCAATAGACTCTAAAGGCACATCAGACTTTTAAGGTTGCATACACCTATGGAAACTTGGACAAAAAAAACCCTTATAAACTTGCATGATGAAGTTCTCTCATTATTAAGCTGCCCCTATTTTAGATAGAAAATAAATGTACATTAAATTAAATTTATATTACTATATTTAGTTGCCGGGTCCATTCCACAGACCCTGACCGAGCGACAGATGAAAGCAGTATTCAGACACAGGTATCCAGTGAAAGAGCAGGCTAGGGGACTGCCGGCACTAGGGGCCGAAGAAAGTTAGCAGTCTCCATAAGCCAGAGCCACTTGTATTTATTCAGTACAGATTTAATGACAAAGGCTTGGAGCCAACACAACCTGTGGATAATTAACATTGCCGTCCCCCCTCCCAGGGAGTAGTCTTGCACGGGGATGATCAAAGGTCAGTTTCCGGACAACATAAGTAAACAAATGTATCTAGATAAACTCCTTTACACTCCCTTGTTACCTACTTCTTGCCCTCAGCCTCAAGGTAAAAGAATTAGCCTCCTTCAGCTTTTATTCTCTCCCAAATCTTTGCAAAACCTCCCAGCCTTCAAAGAAGGTTTGTGTCTTTCCCTATAACTTTTCTTATAACTTTTCCCACCACCCAGATCGATATCCTACATTTTGTCATGATACATACCCTTTTCTTTCTCTTTGTGTAGATACAACATAGATTAATTTAGTATAAGACATACCACTTTCAGAACCAGCCTCAGAACTTAGTGACTGATATGTTCTTCATCGAGCAAAATCATCTTTGAATTTGGAACACATCTCAGTGGATCCATGTATTAGTCATGTGATTTTCAAATATGTTACCTAACTTCTTTGAACATAACCTGATTTTCAAAAGGGAATAATGATACCTACTTTATCAGGATTGAGTCAATCAAGGTTCAGTCAGGAAAATAGACACCACCTTATTTGTTATCAATAGAAAGGGTTTAAATGTTGTGTTTAAAAAACAAATGGAAGATCTGAAACCACTGTCAACACAACAGAAGTATATGGCTATGAAGAGCTCAGTCCACGGCCATAGCAAATTCAAGATCTCTGCGAAGCTCATCCAGATAATCTCAGCTTGCAGCAATGATGCAGGTTCTTCTCAAACAGCTCATCTGAGTTACTTTGAACCTTGTAGCTGTCCAGGAGCAACTGTCTCTGGAGCATAATGGTCTCTCTTTGTCTCCTGCATTTTATGTATCAGACAGAATTTCTCATTTCTCTCTATGTCAAAACCATAAGTGGAAGTGAATTCACTAGAACTCAGTTCCTATTTTTCCTTGAATCAGGGAGAATTCAGAGGGGGTGGTGCTGATACCAACTTTGTAAGACAATTCAGCACTGGTTATTGAGATATTAAGTAAGATTAAATGAAAGGGGTTTAGTATGTAGTGTCACATACAGTATATATTTAATAAGTGGTGATTATTATCATGAAGTAAAGTTCTAAGATGTTATACTCTCCCAAAGCAACCTAATCTATACTTAATAATTATTTACTGGAAACACTGAATGTCCGCTCTAATGATTTATTGACACTTCTAGATAGTTATGTATGCCATTTTTTTGATTTTATATTAAATAGCTAAATTAAGACTATAGGAAAAATTGCCTTCATTATGATTTGATAGTGCTTTCATATATAAAAAACCAAGGCTTATACTTTCAACATATTGTAACTACCATTTCTAAATCATAAAAAAAGAGAAAAGATCTTTCGAGTATGGTGTACTTTAGTAGGAATGGTTACATTTATAACATCTAAGAAAAGTTGAAGAGGGCGCTTTAAATTCACTGCTTCTTAATTCTTTCAATATTCTTAACAGCCCATTTCTTCTACTGTATCATGAGAGTTCCATTAAACCAATACATTTAATTATTTCAGTGAAATGTTTAAGGCACTTTTAAAATAAAGGCTGACTTCAAATTTTTTAGAGGCATTGTGGCTGACATTGAATAACCAGAATAGAACTGATAATAGAATACTTCACAGGGTACAAATACCTTTAGCAACCCTCTATAATTAGCAATTTTATTGTAACCTACCCTTCAGAAGATATCCAAAACCCTATATTCAGCTTACGAATAATGCATTGTACTCAAATTATATAGTGAAGTATTGAAACTTACAGAACTACAAACTATGCTTTCATTTAATATTTGAATGGATTAACAGTATTAGCAACAATTTAAAAAATGACATAACTGGTATAATTATGTATACTAAGTAATTTAATATCTGCAGAAGTTCATGAAGTATGTACAATAGTGATCATGGTTTTTATGTTGATGAAGAAATTGAATCAAAGATGACTGAAATAACTTGCCCAGTATACAAAGCAATCAAGTGACGAAACCAAGAAATTAACACAGCAGTTTGATTACGTAACTGTTTATTCTAAACAATGTGTTTCTATAATAAAGAATATCAGGCCTACCCAGTCTCTCATTGCTCAGGTGAGTGTACTGAGGCCATACTTCCAGATTATTAGTCAATAATCTTATTATAATTAGAGAGATAACAGAATTACTATATTTTCTAAGTATCCTAAGAAAACCCTTAGCATCCTTACTATCTTTACTATCTTCAGGTAAAATCTAATATAAACTTATTTTACAACGTGATAAGTAGTAAAACAGGGATAAGATCGGAATGTGAAAAGTGAAAAAGAGAAAGTGGTGGAAGGCTATTATTTTACATGCAGATAGGTATCTATGTTTTCCAATCATTTATTTACCAATAGTATCACAATAACCTTTAAAATAAGTTGTTGTGGCACAGTCCAGCCACTAGTCAGGCCACACTGAAACCACTAAGGAGCTGTGTGAAAGCTCCTGGAGCTTTTTCATCTTCAAAATTAGCAAACTCCAAGTGATTTTAGCTTATCAATTGGAATATACTTTAGGTGGTTTCCTAGAACATGAGAGAAAAATATTTATAGAACACCTGAGAATATTTTGAAGATTTTTACTTCTTTATGTGAGCAAAAAATGATAGTTGCTCTTTTTGGTGGTAGTTCAGACTTCTATAGCTTAAAAACTTGAAGTAATGACCAGCTGATATAAACCTAACTTCACCATCTGATAGTCAACTTCTAGAAAGCACTATTATTATATGATAAGAGATAATGTGGGTTAATTAAGATTATCAAGCTTTTACATAACTTTGGGAACTCAAGGACTGAAACATTTCAGGGTTCACTGCTTTCATGCCAATGTAAAAGAAAAAATGAAGACATAAAGTGTAATTCATTCTAAAAAGTTTATTAATGGAATTGCAAGAAGCTTTAATTACATCTAGTTTGCTGATTCATTTTCAATGCTTTTTTTCTTTGTGGATTTTAAATCAGAACATTTTAGAACCATGAAAATCTTTCAAAGAACATCTGATTCAGTTCTCCTAACATTTGCCTACGGACACTCAGATACTATCACTTCAAGTGCTTATTTAATTTGCAGATACCTGGACTCCAACCAAGACCTAGAGAATCAGCGTTTCCGAGAAAACAAAAAAAAATTAAGAAAAGCTCAGAATATGCAGTTTAGCAAGATTTTCAGACTGATTCATAAGTACAGTACATGTTAATAACTACCAATATGGTACAACTCCTCACTTTACATATAAATGAATTGAAGTTCTGAGAATTTAAGAGATTTACCTATGTTATACAGCTAGAATCGGAAGCAAAAAGACATTATTGAATGCCTTAAATATCCAGTTAGTTTCGCTTCCATACACCCCATGTCCTTCTAGGAGTATAGCACAAACTAAAATTTGACTAGGCAAATATTTATTAATGGGCTGTAGGTAGAAGAGTTATTCAAAGCAGTATAGATATACCAAAAATTAGAATGAAACGATTTACTGAGATTACTATCAATCAATTTCAGCTATTCATACCAGGGTGTCTTAAGAAGTTTATTATTTCCTTGTTATCAAGAAATAATCCTTTAACAACTGAATGGAGAACTACTTATTTAACAATTAAGGGAAGGGGGAATCAGAGCTTTGCTGAATTGATTAATTTAATGGCTAGAATTAATGGTTCTCTGTAATCTTACCCATTAAAAATGTCCTCATGTACTAATTGTGGGCTTGCCCATATGACTCTAACTAAAATAGTGGAAGAAAGAGTATTAGATTAAAATGAAAGATCTAGGTCCTCATTCCAACTCTGTTACTTGCTACTAATTAAGTGAAATTTTATAGAAATCTACTGAGGGACAATGTAGGACTCCTTCACCGCACAGACTAATTTTTTCCTACTGTACTCTTGTCTCCTCCTAGTATAGTGTCCATATCAGAGTGGACTCTCCTCAGATGTCACTGCCATTGGAAAGAGCATTTCCAAGATGTGGCTCCCAGTTATACAGAAGTCTGTTGATACACAATTGACTAAAATACTGCTGTCTTAGAAAAAAGACTTCTTTCCTTCCATTGTACTTTCTAGCAAAATATTAAAATAAAAACGAATGGGATTTTTATTTCCCTTTATGAGTTTTAGAATTTCAAAACTATATTTTTATGCTTTTTTTCTAGAGGACTTGATTTACCTATTCTTTTCTTTGCAGAGGAAACTTAAATGTGATTTTCCAAAAATCAAGGAATAATTAGGCATAATTAATCACTAGAAACCAAAGGAAGCAATCAGAGATAATTAGACAACATCTCATATTTAAGTCAGTTGAGCAGTAGCAACTAATTTTTGTTTAGTTCATATCCTGAATATGATGTATTTTTCTGGTAAAACAAACATCACCAGAATACAGCATCAACATTCAACATTTTTGGAAAAATAAAACTTTAGTTCTTATATAATGTCATAGAAATTACTTCTGTATTACTCTGTTTTCACACTGCTGATAAAGACATATCCAAGACTGGGCAATTTACAAAAGAAAGAGGTTGAACTGGACTTACAGTTCCACATGGCTGGGGAAGACTCACAATTATGGCAGAAGACAAGAAGGAGCAAGTCACGTCTTACATGGATGGCAGCAGGCAAAGAGAGAGCTTGTACAGGGAGATTCCTGTTTTTCAAAGCCTTCAGATCTCATGAGACTTACTCACTTTCACAAGAACAGCACAGGAAAGACCTGCCCCCTACAACACCTGGGAATTCAAGGTGAGATTTGGGTGGGGACACAGCCAAACCATATCATCTTCTAAGCAAAATATCTTGAAAATTAAAGACTTACATTAGAAATTTTAGAAAGAATTATTTGACAAAAATTAAACTGTACCACAACAATAACTAGATTCTAGGGTAAACTGATTTTTCCAATGTGTGGTTGAATTCAATGGGACATAGCATCACAACTGAAAATATTATAGATATACTTCTCTGGCAACTGAGTAGCAAGAAAAGAATGTGTTTTCTCTGCATTCTTTCTCCTGTATTATATATGCTCATAGCTGGATTTCCTCTTTCACTGCGGTGAGAACTCACATTTTTGGCAATAACTTTCTGAGAAAAATTCAAGAATGAGGCCAACTCCCCAAGCAGACTACAGGGAAAATTTGCATTAAACCCTAGTTAGAACTTATAGCCAGTAGCTATAATCAGAGGAGACCCCGGCATTCTTTGTGGTGAGATTCTGTGGTCAGATTGCAATCTGTACCGCATTTGGTAGAGCTGACACCCAGTGCTGGGAATTCAGTCTTTCAGAGCTGTGCTTCTTCATTCATTGCAAATGAAATAAAAATCCTAAAATTTAGGGGAAAGGAGCAGAACATAGACTTATAAAATTAGTTTCATTGCTATCACATAACATAAAAGCTCTGAAAGAAGTCATAGTAAATATACACCATATTTGAATACTTTATAACGGTATGGCTTTTATAGTACTCTTTATAATTCTTTAATCTTCCAAATTACCATGATGCCATTCGTTGATATATACCTCCTTCCTCTTTATTCAAGAATCTCTGAATAAAAATGGGAGCTTCCATTTTCATTAGAAAGGCCAAATGAATTTTATCTGTGCTTGATGGATTGCACTTGTTCTTCCTTCTCCTCCCTCTTCCCTATTTTCTATATTCAACTTTATCAAGCTATAACTGATATAATAAAATGCACCTATTTAAGGTATACAGATTAATGCATTTTGAATTTTTTTCTAAATTGTAATGCATGTAACCACTCAAGTAACCAGTATTCAATCAAGATAGATAATATTACTTTTATGCCCCAAAGTTTCTTTATGCCCAAAGGGAAAATGTCTACAGAGATTTCCAGGCCTGAAAATATGGAGATCTACAGGCACCATGAGGATTGCCTTTCCTTATAAGCTAAATGAGAAATAATTGGAGACTCTGCAGCAAAGGAGTGACTTATTTGACTTAGCTGAGGGTTTGTATAATCATTAGGTTGAATGAGATATGATGATGCTCCTCCTCATAGTTTATGGGATTAAAAACCTGCTTTGTGTTAAAAGAGAAAATTTGCTGGGAATGCATAAAGATAGCAAGTACCAACACTTCATGGTAATGTTCATTAAAGCTCTACCCATATTTTTTAACAGAGCTGCTATAAACAGAATAATTAAATAAAATTCAAAGAAAGAAGCTGAAATATTTTAGCAAGTCTTTTTCCTAACACCTTTCTCATTTTTGAAAAGTTTACCTTCTTGTTGACTAAACATATTTTTCCTTGCATTTTTGATATTGGCTAATGTCATTTTTAGGATAAACTTGAGGTTTTTTATATTTCTGTTTAAGCCTTTTATATAATCAGGGCATCACAATTAAGGTGTTCTCTCACTCTGTGATAATATTGTAACCAAGTCCAAACTTGTCCTGCTCACCACACAACCATTTTCAGGGTTTGCTGGCTCTCCGAAATAAAGTTGCTCTTCTTCCTCAAACTCCTGTTTGAGCAAGGAAAGCAACTTTATTTCGGAGAGCCAGCAAACCCTGAAAATGGTGAACTGATGTTCTAAAGAACTGTCTTAGGTCAGTAAAAATTTCAGGCTCTTATTATATTAAAGGCAGGAGGAAGAGAAAGGGATTGTGAACAAGAGGTGACCAATGGCCACAGGCATTTGGGTACCAGTGAGGATCAGAAGAGGTTTGGAACTTCTTCATCCTTGGTCAGGTCACAATGTTCCTATAAATCTTTAACAAAACATAGCTAGTTGTTTACATATTTCCCTTTTAACCCCAGAGTTAGTTTCAAAAACTGCATGATTATTGTTTTTGTGTTTTTTCTTAGTGCTCTAAAATTATCCTAGCCTATGTGTAGGAATGGGTAAAGGCCCCTTAAACAAAAATGGAGTTAATTATGTTAGCTCTTTTGCTGATTCATTGTTACAATTCCCCACTGTCAAAGGCTCATTCCACAGTCTTGTAAGGTTAGGGACAGTGGGACATCGTCTCTCATCTGGGTGCTTCCTGCTGAACATGGTCAATGTGGGGCAACTGTGGAAATGAAACTATTTGACCTGGCAGCAAGTTGGTGTTCAGGACCTTATACTTTCCAAATCTTTAGAAGGACCCTATCTCCCAATCAAAAAGGATGTAGGGACATGTCTGTGGGATGAGTGGTCCTGCTAGAAGCAAACTCATGACATGTAGTAAGCATAGTACCTAGAGTGTTAACATATATGGCAATTGCTATATCTCTTAAAGCATCAGTTGGTTTTTCCACTGGGGCAGAAACCTGGACGTAGCCTACCACATCATATTTCAAGGGGACTCAACTTTAGCCTACATTGGGGAGCCACTCTAATCCACAACAGGGCAACCAGCAATGACTTATCTCAAGTTAAATTAGTTCCTCAACATATTTGCTCTTTTTTAAAAGATTATGGTTAATCTTTTCGTTAATTGTTGTCACCAAGATGCCCATCTAAAGGTTGTAGAAAAGAGTGAGTCACAGTTTCCCCTGACATTATTGTAATCATCATAGTCTTTGAATCAGGGGATAGATGAGTGTTAACTACAGAATCTGTGGCCCCCGTAGAAGAAAGTCAGATGTTTGTACCAGCTGGGTGTGGTAACTCACACCTGTAATCCCAACACCTTGGGAAGCTGAGGCAGGCGGATCACTTGAGATCAGGATTTCAAGACCAGCCTGGGCAACATGAAATCCTGTCTGGCCAACATAGTGAAACCCTGTCTCTACTGAAAATACAACAACAACAACAAAAATAGCCTACCATGGTAACAGATGCCTGTAATCTCAGCTATTTGGGAGACTGAGGCTTGAGAATCACTTGAAAGCAGGAGGTGGAGGTTGCAATGAACCAAGATTGTGCCACTGCACTCCAGCCCGGGTGACAAAGCAAGACTCTAACACACACACACACACACACACACACACACACACACACACACACAAAAGAAAGAAAATAAAATTTAAAATGTTAAAAAAATAAAAGTTTGTATCCCACTGTCAGTTGCACCTGGGGCTCCTGTGGAGATACAAGGATGGGTTGGCTAAAAATATGTATTTAACTAGTTACAGGAGGATCTATATTCACGGAGGTGATCTTGACATGCATATTGAACAAACATGCATGCAACATATGACCCTGATTACCTTGTGGTGGAGACTTAATCCTTGCCTGGCATGGCTTTAGACTTGTTTATAATTTGTGTCTTATTTCTAAAAGAATCTGTTCTGTCAGTCTTATAATCTCTATTTTAACATTAACTCTGATCAGTTGATGTGTCTAAACCATAAAATAGAAGGTATAATGATGCATATTTTACCTCCTGTCCCATAAGTGTTGGGAACTAAATTGTTAAGGCACTTTTGGAGAGGCCAAAGGAGACACCTGCATTGTCTTGCCTTGGCCAAAGAAAGTGTCCATTCAGTTGGTGGGATGTTAGGATTTTATTTTTATAGTTTACATTCTTCCTTTTTCATCAAGACATGCCAGAGGCAACATCAATTGCCAAAGTTTTATTTAGTTTAATGTCATTGCCAGGATGGTGTGGCTACCTGCCTCAGATCCATTATGTCACTTGTTGGGACCCCTATGGCCAAGCAGCTTAGAGTCAAAAGACTTACAGCCAATTAAACATTCTAGGCCATATGGGAATGGAAGTGGCCAGAGGGCCATTAACCAATAGAACCCTTTTAAGTAACATAAGAGTCAAAAACCCAAAGCCAAAAAGAAAGGTTACAGGATTGACTTGTCTATAAGTTCTGTGTGTTGACTCATCAGCTGTATGGGCACTTGTGTACTTGTCTTTGATTTGGAAGTTTTGAGCTAATTTCATCCCTAAAAACTGGCACTTAACAATCTCATATGCCCACCTCTTTCACGATAGTCCCTGGGCTTAGAGGGAAGGTGGTTGATACTGTATAGCTTTAGCAGCAGTGTGTTGGCAAAGCAAAATAGATGGGCCCAGTGGGATTGAACAGTTTTCAAAATCTGGAGATATTAGATGAGAGAGAAATGTAATCTTTATTGTTTTACCCAATTTCTGTAAGTCCTAAATAGCTCAAAAAGAGAGAAAAAAAAGGTTTTCTTAGCTCTGTAAAACCAAACATAAAGAATTAGCAACATTTCAAAAAAAAAGGTCAAAACCCCTGTCTGATTTTGACAATGATAGGAAAAGGAAGCTCACAGATAGATAAACATTCAAATTATCTAGAATCTAGGACTCAGATTGAATGAAAATTACTAAATGAATCTCAGTAATTTTTAATGCAGGACTGTTCATATGTCTCATGAGGTAGTTACTTTGATTGTTATGTTTTCTCAGGTCTGAAGATAAGCCTGTGGTTAACTAAAGTTTGGTGTCAGATACTGGCAGGAGTTGGTGCCATCTTTAGATAAGATCTTTGTACTCTGAATCAAAGCCCTGTAACTTAACAGCACAGGATTAGTTAATAGCACATGATAAAGGACCTTTTCAAGGGGAGTGGAGGTGGTGATACTGGAGTTTATGATCTAACTGGAAGTTGTGAAAAGGATTCTTCAACCTCACAGTAATTTAATTTGTATAGCTTTGATAAGTCCCCAGTAATAAGTCTAGTTCAGAGACTTAAGAGTTTTGATTTTGAGGACGTTTATCAAAGGTGTTAAAAGGCTTGCAACATTTTATCAACATAGAATAATAGTTACTCATTTAGGCAAGAGTGATAATCAAAAGACTTTACAAGCAATACAGAAAAACTTACATCAATATAAAAGCCTTAACCTTTTTAAAGTTTTTCTAAGTAAGTAGTCAGAAACCTAATAAAGACAGCCTAGTAATTATCTTGATAAAATGTAAACTCTTGTTTCTTAACTTGATTATGAAAAAAGCAAAGAAAAACCTGCAGTGTGACTGCTTCTCCTTATGGGAAGCCCATTTAGATAACCTAGAAGTCAGACTTGATAATAAAGGTATTTGACATTAACCATACACAGGGAGTGTGTTCAAGGTATGAGTATAGCAGGAGAATATATGACTCCTTGTAACTGCATGAGAAGTTTCCCAGTTACATGAAATGATTCAGAAATATGAAGAAAAGCAAAGAGGACAAAATCAAGTTAGATTTTTGGAAAATATTACTTGTTAGACACTCAAGATGAAGCATTTTAGCATCAGGCCACAACAACAATTAGAAACAGAGAAAAAGAGTTACAGGAGCTAAGATAAAAGTTGAGAGAGAGTGATCATCTCAGGCCTTTTAAAAGGGAGAGAAACAACGAAAATAGTGATACACAGCAAAAGCTGAAAATTCTTTTGTGTTTTTTTTGTTTGTTTGTTTGTTTGTTTAGAGACAAGGTCTCCCTCTGTTGTCCAGGCCAGAATGCAGTGCGGCAGTTGTGGCTCTCAATGCAGCCTTGACCTGCTGGGCTCAAGCAATCTTCCTACCTCAGTCTCCTAAGTACCTAGGCCTATAGGCACATGCCATCATGTCCTGATAATTTTAATTTTTTTAAGTTTTTATGAAGGTAGAATCTCACTATGTTGCCTAGGCTATTCTTGAACTCCTGGCTTCAACCAAATCTCTTATCTCAGCCTCCCAAAGTGCTGGGATTATAGGTATGAGGCACAAAGTGCTGGGATTATAGGCATGAGCACCTGGCCAAAAGTTGAACTTCCAAGATATAAATCTAAGGAGTTTTCAAAAGGAGACAGGTCATAGAATTAAAAATAAGAACCTCTTATAATTTTATTAAGAGTAAATAAATACTTTCCTTTATAATTATAATGAACTTACATATACAATTCCTTTCATAAATTCCATTTCACAAACCTTATCATGACTTACAGAGACCATTAATGACATTTGGACTTTGTGTTTTTCCCATACTTCCCTCTCTTTTAAAAAACCAGTCATTGTACTTTAGGATAAAAATTTAGCATACAAGATCCCTTTCCATACAAAATTATTCTTTTTTCTTTATAATTTTCCCTACAAAAATACATCTTCATATCCTTAAGTATCTTTGCATTATTCCTCCTACTTGTTTCTTCCTACCTTCTTTCATAACTTTATAATTACCTCTTTTCTTAATAAAAACACAACTTACAGAATTATGTATTAACTAGAATTCTTGTTCTTAGTAGCCTTAAATTTTAGGAAGCAGCAAATTGTTACCTGACTCTCAGATGTTAACATTTTATAGATGAAACCACTCCACAATTTTTAGTAACATGTTTTCCATATGATAACCCTTTCTTAATTGAAAATTACCCAGACATCCAACAAGCATCTACTATTCAATTCAAAATAATTTTAAGATTTTAAATTACAAAATTTATAAGTGAGCATGTATCCCATTTACATGTACTTATTTATTTATTTATTTTTGAGACAGGGTTTTGTTCTATTGCCCAGGCTGGAGTGAAGTGGCATGCTCATGGCTCGCTGTAGCTTCAATCTCCCAGACTCAAGTGATTCTTCCACCTAAATTTCCTGAATATCTGGGGACACAGTTGTGAGCCAACATGCTCAGCTAAAAATATTTTTTAAATTTTAAGAAAATTTGTTTAGAGATAGGGGCCTATGTTGCCAGGGCCTGCTTTTGAACCCCTGAGCTCAAGCAATACTTCTACCTTGGCCTCCCAAAGTGTTGGCATTACAGGTGTGAGCCACTTTACCCAGAAATTCTTTAATTATTAACATTTTATCCAAATTATTTCTGAAAACTGAGATATTAGACAAAGCTAGTCATCATTTCAAGTTATTTTCTTGTTAACCATTTAGTGTACCCTTGGAATACCAAGTATTCACCTAAGAAAGAACCTTAAAGTGAAACACATGAGCATCTTGCTGATAACTCAGAAAATTCAGGTGTTTTTATTGAATTAGCAATCTTAAATTAGTCTTATTTGTCAAAAAATTCACATAAACAAAGATTATTCTTTTTTTGGTTGGGTTTGTACTCTTATAACTTTTGTGGTTGTGCCAACCCCTGACACCTTAAAATTTCTAGCAGAGGCAAAATATAAAATAATCTGTAAGCCCACATAAAAAATGTATGCTTACAATTCCAAAGGCATTTCTAGTTTTGTTTTACTAATAATTTTAAAATTATTTTTATTTACCAAAGATTACTAAATTTATGTGAACTTGAAAAGCATTTGGATTTACTTAATTTGTGAGTAATCATTTACTTATAAGCCAATTTGGCAACATGCTGGACATGACTTTAACATAATACATGTACATACACATATGAACACATATACACACAAAATCAAAGATCCTGTATCTTTTACCTTGGAACTCTAATCATAAGACAGCATCACAAAGTCACCAGCCTATAAAAGACATAGCTGGATCCAAATTATTTCTGACAAAATTGAGACCTGTCCACATGGCTAAACTTTGTCTGATTGGTAATCCAGTGAAGGTTGTGGACCAAAATTTTGGGTCAAGCACATTTCAGGGAAGTTTAATAATTTAGAAAAGCCTCTTTTACCACCACCCCCTTTTCCCTTCAGTTTCAAATGAGTTTGCAGTGTTTATGTTTTAGCTAGAACTGACTTAACTGTATAAGAAAAACAAAATCTCCAAGTAACCTTGAATTGGTGTCAGCATAAACAGTGAGTTTTATCCCAACACCAATAGCTTACAAAGCTATTTCCTCTCACAGTAGATTCAAAGTAGGCAGAAAAATAAAGAGAAAAACAGATAGAGAGTTTTAGAAGACTTTACTTAACTCTATAATTGCAAGTTAACCATTTGAGTTCTGAATTTTTCTTGCTGTAATTTGCTGATCAGTTTAAAATGTGCAAAAATGGGCCATAGTATATAACCATCTAGAGTCCCAGAAAACCTGGCATGTCTTTTAACTTTCCCATTTTTTTAAAGATGTAACCCCAGAGCCCACAAAGACAACTGGAAGACAAATGCAAATGAACTGGTTCTCAAATTGGGTAAAAATCTAATAGCTGGCCGGGCACAGTGGCTTATGCCTGTAATCCCAGCACTTTGGGAGACCGAGGTGGGCGAATCGCAAGGCCAGGAGATGGAGACTGTCCTGGCTAACATAGTAAAACCCTGTCTCTACTAAAAATACAAAAAAAAAAAAAATTAGCTGGGCATGGTGGGAGGTGCCTGTAGTCCCAGCTACTCGGGACGGTGAGGCAGGAGAATGGCACGAGCCCGGGAGGTGGAGCTTGCAGTGAGCCGAGATCATACCACTGCACTCCAGCTTGGGCGACCGAGGGAGACTTCATCTAAAAAAAAAAGAAAAATCCAATAGCTATTCCCCTCTCCAATAGGGTACTCCAGTCAATACACAAAGTGGCTTATTCCAAGGAAAAACCCAAATACGAGGTAAAAGGAGTTGTTAACTCTACACACCAGAGTGACCTACTCAGTCCTGGAGCATGTCAGCTTCCCCAGACACACCACTTTTCCTAACACCAGTGAAGTGTTGCAGGCAGCTGATGCTGGGAAGAGGAAAGAAGGGAGATCCCCCAAGCCAAAGCAATTTTGGCAGCTGGGGTGTCTCTAGAATCCCAGCTATGGGGTCAGCTAGCAACAAGTAGCTTGCATTCAAAGTGATTGATGCTTTGCTTGGTAGTGTGAACGCTGCTGTTCCCAGTTGCTCCATCTGTTGGATACCAGGCAAGCTAGACCACTTGAAGTTTACAATCCCATGTTGGGCACCAAAAATTGTAACTTAACCCAGGTTCAGCTGCTTGCTGCTCGAAAGCCAAACTCGAAAGAGAAGTGTTGATGAGAGGAAATGCAGGTTTATTCAGGAGCCAACAACCAGAGGATATGACCAACTAGTGTTGCAAAACTATCTCAGGTTTCTCAGGGTGACCAAAATGGTTTTAAAGGGGAATGAGATTTTGTAATTATGAATATACATATATTTTTTTTTGAGACGGAGTCTTGCTCTGTCACCCAGCTGGAGTGCAGTGGCACCATCTCAGCTCACTGCAACCTTTGCCTCCTGAGTTCAAGTGATTCTCCTGCCTCAGCCTCCTGAGTAGCTGGGATTACAGGTACGTGCCCCCGTGCCTGGCTAATTTTTTTGGAATATACAAATTTTTAAAGGGAAATGGTGACTTGCCCAATAAAATGCTTAAATTTAGGTTAAATATGTCTCATAAGTATTAAAGGCAGAAATATTTTGTTGAATTATTATACTACTCTTTTTTGTATTTCATTTATGAATGCAAAGTATTTACTCTAATGCAGGGGTATCCAACCTTTTGGCTTCCCTGGGCCACATTGGAAGAAGAATTGTCTTGGACCACAGATAAAATACACTAACACTAACAATAACACTAACAATAGCTGATGAGCTGAAAACAAAAAAATCACAACAAAATCTCATAATGTTTTCAGGAAATTTATGAATTTGTTTTGGGCCACATTCAAAGCTATCCTGGGCTGCATGTGGTCAATGGGCTGTGGGTTGGACAATCTTGCTCTAGTGTATATCAAGATTTAACTTTTAGAGGCATTAGTATAGGTAATATTAAAAATTAGCCATTATATACACATACACACACATGCAACACACATGCATACACTGTGCTAGCATATACTATTAATTTATTTATTCAGCAAGCATATTTTGAACAAATCTGTAAGATTTCCTCAAATTTATTATATAATTCTCATATTAAGATGAACTAAGTTTATATGTAAGATAATTCAGAAGAATGCTGGATTAAATACCAACTCTAATATAATTGCTTCCTATGAATTTTATTTTTAATTTGCATAGAAGTATAACCTGAGGCAGAGCGTAACATTGCCTCCACTGTTGCATGGATCATGATGAGATTTTGCCACACCAGGTCCTCCTAGGCTTTTCAGTTTTACTTTGGCCTCTTGGGATTCTAAAAGGCACTAGCATCTGTGAGCAAAGGTGAAACTAGGTGCAAAGCATCTAGATTCTAGGCACTGAAATCGGCTGAAGGACACCTACAGCAAATACGTGTAAGGACATCTTGAGCTTTTTGTGGGAGTGTACAGGCATTGTATACTAGCACACAAAAGTCAGTGCTTAAAGCTGAAGAGCCCACTGTATCAGAAAAAGATGAAAGCCTTGGGCTTCATATAGAAGGCAAAACTGGAGTCATGTGACTCTAAGGCAACACACAGTGCTATAATCCAGTAGAACTGTATATTTTTTCATCAAGTCTAACTTGCCCAAAAACAATTCTCCCTTTGTATGTAATCTTAGAGGGTGAGGGAGGCAAATTTCTTCTTTCAAACCACAAGGGGAGCATTTAATTCAACTGAACAAAGTCAATAATTCTTCCCCTCTTGACCTAAAGGAACAATAACAGTTTGCAAAAGCAACCAATTTATAAGCCCCGCAGGCTCAGAGCAAATCTGGCTTTTGCATTAGTGCCCAGAAACTCACATTTAATTATGGGCCTTGAGAAGGAGTAACTGGCAAAGCCAAATTAACAGTCTCTTCCTTAGATTTGCTGTGTGAAGTAATTCCCAGTTGCTTCTTTCTTGATTCCATATGCAATTGGAAATCTAGTGGAAATGTCCCCTCTTTAACCACAGGACTGATAGCTTTCCTCCTCTGTCATGCATCAGGACTTGTTTCCATAGCAGCCACTTTGGGGAATGAAAAGAGTTTACATGATACTCTTTCCATAGGTGAAATTTTAAGAATGAAGCATTAGCGTTCACTTGCACAAGAACAAGGATTGCTTGGATACATTTTCTGTAAAGATAGGGCCTGTGTTCTCTTTATATAACAAGGTGTTAAGCCATTTAACAAAGGCTCTTCTTACTTCAGGTGGGCTCAGAATCAAATCTATTCCCTGCCAACATTACAATCTTAGGCAGATTCCTCTCTATTAGCTCACAAAGGTGCAGAGAATCCTACTCAAGATATTGCATTTATATTGTCATTTCTGCCCTGAATTACATATCAGGGCTGCAAAAGAGAAACCTGTCACATGTGTGCTAATTTCTCTATTAAAGTACCCATTTTGTAGCCTGAGATCCAGAAGTATGAATATGGAGGGCTGACTGCAGTCCAGGTACCATGTAAATAATTTTTCAGGGGATTCCTTAAATTCCACAATTTTGAGGGCTCAAATTTGGAGCCATCATTGCATTGACTGTGAAATACAACTCAGCAAGAAGTATTGCTAACTGAAAAACAAACAAAAACCAAGGCTAAATCATAGTTTTCACAACTGTCCTGTAATTTACCTCAAAATTCGTGGAACTCTTGCTTTCTGTTAAATTACTCACTGAATGTGAAATATTTTCATCTATTCCTGTGGTAAAATCATAATCTCTATCCTCTTTCAAATAGAAATCTCCAGAATTAATTTCACCTTAAAGGCCTATACCTATAAATCCTAAATGACTACCAATTATTATACATACATAAAAATTATTATAACCATTTTTGTGGCCACTATTTTTATTCCATATTCCATATCTAAGCAATGGTTTTATCAGGTTCCCAACTGGAAAAATGTAAGCTTCATCATGCTTTGCCTCACTTACGTAATGGCCACAAAATTATATGGATCTCATCTTACCTTATTTACAGCTCTTAAAATTCTTACCTCTTCCCACTACCTCATCATTTCCACTCATAATAATAAAAAGAAGAAAAAAAACTCTTTAAAATAATGATTTATTTACTTTCTAACTTTTCTTTTAGGTTCAGTCCAGGTTTGTTATATAGGCAAATACATAACAAGTGCAGATTTGTTATATAGGCAAATTGTGTGTTCTGGGGGTTTGGTATACAGATACTTTTCTCACCCAAGTAATCAGCATAATACCTGATAGGTAGTTTTTCAATCCATACCCTACTTCCCACACTCCCCTGTTACATAGGCCCTGGTGTCTGTTCCCTTTTCTGTGTCCATATGTACTCAATGCTTAACTCCCACTTATACATGAGAATATGTGGTATTTGGTTTTTTCGGAGGAACCATCCCCCAATATTTCAACATAGGTTCTTTCTATTTTCCCTAAGTGTCGGCTGGTCTAAGAAATAAAGAAAAAGAGTACAAAGAGAGGAATTTTACAGCTGGGCCGCCGGGGGTGACATCACATATTGGTAGGTCTGTGATGTCCCACCTGAGCTGCAAAACCAGCAACTTTTTTTAAGGATTTCAAAAGGGGAAGGGGTGTATGAACAGGGAGTAGGTCACAAAGATCACATGCTTCTGAGGCCAATAAAGATCACAAGGCAAAGGGCAAAGCAAAGATCACAAGGCAAAGGGCAAAATTAGAATTACTGATGAGGGTCTATGTTCAGCTGTGCATGTATTGTCTGGGTAAACATCTTAACAGAAAATAGGTTCGAGAGCAGAGAACCAGTCTGACCAAATTTTACCAGGCTGGAATTTCCCAATCCTAGTAAGCCTGAGGGTACTGCAGGAGACCAGGGCGTATTTCAGTCCTTATCTCAACTGCATAAGACAGACACTCCCAGAACAGCCGTTTATAGAACTCCCCCAAGGAATGCAATTTTTTTTTTATTTTTTTCTAGGGTCTTAATATTTAATACTCCTTGCTAGGAGAAGAATTTAGTGATATCTCTCCTACTTGCACGTCCATTTATAGGCTCTCTGCAAGAAGAAAAATATGGCACTTTTTGCCAGACCCCACAGGCAGTCAGACCTTATGGTTTTCTTCCCTTGTTCCCTAAAATCACTGTTATTCTGTTCTTTTTTAAGGTGCACTGATTTCATATTATTCAAACACACATGTTTTACAATCAGATTTCATTTTGTTCAAACACATGTTTTACAATCAATTTGTACAGTTAATGCAATCATCACAGGGTCCTGAGGTGACTTACATTCTCAGCTTACGAAGATAACAGGATTATGAGATTAAAGTAAAGACAGGCATAAGAATTCACAATTTATGCTCCTCTGCCATGGCTCCAGCCAGTCCCTCCGTTCGGGGTCCCTGACTTCCTGCAACTTGATTTTCTCTTCCTGTATTAATTTGCTTAGGATAATGGACTTCAGCTTCATTCGTGTTGCTGCAAACACCACGATCTCATTCTTTTTATGGCTGTGTAGTATTTCATGGTGTGTATGTACCACATTTTCTTTAACAGTCTACTGCTGATGGGCATTTAGGTCTATTCTATGTCTTCATTATTATTGAATAGTGCTGTGATGAACATATGTTTGCATATATTTTTATGGTAGAATGATTTATATTTCTTTGCATATATACCCAGTAATGGGATTGCTGGGTCAAATGATAGTTCCATTTTTTGTTCTTTGAGAAATAACCAAACTGCTTGACACAATGGCTAAATGAATTTTCATTCCCACCAGCAGTGTATAAAAGTATTCTCTTTTTTCTTCAACATTACCAGCATCTGTTATCTTTTGACTTTTTAATAATAGCTATTCTGAGTGTGAGAGGGTATATCTCATTGTGGTTTAGATTTGATTTCTATAATTGTAAGTGATGTGGGTGATTTTTCATATGCTTGTTGGCTGCATGTATGTCTTCTTTTGAGAAGCATCGGTTCATTTCCTTTGCTCTTTCTAATAAGGTTATTTTGTTTTGCTTGTTAAGTTCTTTATAGATTCTGGATATTTGGCCTTTGTTGGATGCACAGTTTACGATTATTTTCTTCTATTCTGTAGGTTGTCAGTTTGCTGTTGATAATTTCATTTGCTGTGCTGAATCGCTTTAGTTTAATTAGGTCACATTTGTCAGTTTTTGTTTTTGTTGCAAAGACTTTTAGCATCTTCGTTATGAAATCTTTACCAGGGTCTATGTATCTTCCAGGGTTTTTATAGTTTTTGCATATAAGTATTTAATCTATTTTGAATTGATTTTTGCATATGGCCTAAGGAAAGGGTCCAGTTTCAGTCTTCTGAATATGGTTAGCCAGTTATCTCAGCAACATTTATTGAATATGGACTCATTTCCCCATTGCTTGGTTTTGTGAACTTTGTTGAAGATTAGATGTTTATAGGTGTGGGACTTTATTTCTTGGCTCCCTTTTTCTTCCATTGGTCTGTGTGTTTGTTTTTGTACCAGTACCATGCTGTTTTCATTACTGTAGCCTTGTAACAGAGTTTGAAGTTGGGTAATATGACACCTCCAGCTTTGTCCTTTTTGTTGAGAATTGCTTTGGCTACTCAGACTCATTTTAGGTTTCATAGGAATTTTAAAATAGTTTTTTTTTTTTTTCAAATTCTGTGAAGAATCTCGTTGGTATCTGATAGGAATTGCATTGAATCTGTAAATTCCTGTGGGCACTATGGCCATTTTAATGATATTGACTCTTCCTATCCATGAACATGAAATATTTTTCTTTTTTTTTTCTTTTGTCTTTTTTTTTATTGTACTCTAAGTTTTAGGGTACATGTGCACAGCGTGCAGGTTTGTTACATATGTATACATCTGCCATGTTGGTGTGCTGCACCCATTAACTTGTCATTTAACATTAGGTATATCTCCTAATGCTATCCCTCCCCCGACCCCAACCCCACAACAGGCCCCGGTGTGTGATGTTCCCCTTCCTGTGTCCATGTGTTCTCATTGTTCAATTCCCACCTATGAGTGAGAACATGCAGTGTTTGGTTTTCTGTTCTTGTGATAGTTTGCTGAGAATGATGGTTTCCAGCTTCATCCATGTCCCTACAAAGGACATAAACTCATCATTTTTTATGGCTGCATAATACTTTTTCATTTGTTTGTATAATCTCTGATCTCTTTCAGCAGTGTTTTGTAATCCTCATTATAGAGAGCTTTCACCTCCCTGGTTAGCTGTATTTCTAGGTATTTTATTTTTTTTTGTACATATTGTGAATGGGATGGTGTTCCTTATTTGGCTCTCAGCTTGTATGTTCTTTTTATACAGGGATGCTAGTGATTTTTTTATGTCGATTTTGTATCCTGAAACTTTGCTGAAGTTGTTTATCAAGTCTAGAAGCATTTGTCATTTCTGATTGTGTTTATTTGGAACTTCTCTTTTTAATTATCTAGATAGCAGTCTATCAATCTTATTTATACTTTCAAAAAACCAACTTCTAGACTCATTGATTTTTTGTATGGTTTTTCACATCTCAATTGCAGTCAGTTAGTTCTGATTTTGGTTACTTCTTGTCCTTTAATAGCTTTGGGGTTCATTTTCTCATGTTTTTCTAGTTTCTCTGTGTTTGATGTTAGGTTGTTCATTTGAATTCTTTCTAACTTTTTGAAGTGGGCATTTTGTGCTATGAACATTCCTTTCAACACTGCTTTGGCTGTGTCACAGACATTCGGCTATGTTGTGTCTTTGTTTTCATTAGTTTCGAAGAATTTCTTGTTTTCTGGCCTAATTTTATTGTTTATCCAGAAGTCATTCAGGAGCACATTGTAAAATTTCCATGTAATTGTATGGTCTTCAGCGAACTTAGTGTTGATTTCTATTTTTATTTTGCTGTGTGATCTAATAGTGCACTTGGTATGATGTCAGTATTTTTTTTATTTACTGAGAATTGTTTTACGGCCGATTTTAGAGTACATGCCATGTACAGATGAGAAGAACGTATACTCTTGTTTTTTAGTGGAGAGTTCTATAGATATCTGTTAGGTCCATTTGGTCAAGTGTCTAGTTCAGGTCCTGAATATTTTGATTAGTTTTCTGTATCAGTGATCTGTTTAATAAGGTCAGTGGAATGGCAAAGCCTCCCACTATTATTTCTCTCTTCTGGCTCAGAGAGTTTCTGCTGAAAAGTCTGCAGTTAGCCTGATGGGGTTACCTTTGTAGGTGATCTGCCCCTTCCTTCTGGTTGCCATTAACGTTTTTTTCTTTTATTTTGACCTTGGGAAATCTGAAGATTATGTGTCTTGGGGATGTCATCTTGTATAGTATGTCACAAGGGCTCTCTGCCTTACCTGAATTTTAATGTTGGCTTCTCTAGTGAGGTTTGGGAAATTTTCATGGACAACATCCTCACATATGTTTTCCAAGTTGCTTGCTTTCTCTCCCTCTCTTTCAGGAATGTCAATGGGTCATAAATTTTTTCTCATTACTTGATCCCATATTTCTCCTGGGTTTTCTTCATTTTTTTCTTTATTTTTATTGGATTGAGTTAATTCAGAGAACTAGTCTTCCAGCTCTGAGATCCATTCCTAAGCTTGTTCACTTTGCCTGTTAATACTTGCAATTCTATTGTGAAATTATTGCAGTAAGTTTTTCAGCATTATCATATCAGTTTGGTTCCTTATTAAAATGGCCATTTCTTCTTTCAGTTCTTGTATCATTTTATTGTATTCCTTAGATTCTTTGGATTGGGTTATGGCTTTTCCCTGAATCTCAATGTTCTTCATTCCTATCCATATTGTGAATTCTACATCTGGCATTCCAGCCATTTTAGCTTGGTTAAAAACCATTGCTAAGACACTAATGCTGTCATTTGGAGGTAGGAAGACACTCGGACTTTTTTTTTTTTTTTTTTTTTTTTTTTGAGACGGGGTCTTGCTCTGTTGCCAGGCTGGAGTGCAGTGGCATAATCTCGGCTCACTGCAACCTCCGCCTCCCTGGTTCAAGCAATTCCCCTGCCTCAGCCTCCTGAGTAGCTGGGACTACAGGCATGCACCACCATGCCCAGCTAATTTTTTTGTATTTTAGTAGAGACGGGCTTTCACCATGTAGGCCAGGATGGTCTCGATCTCCTGACCTGGTGATCTACCTGCCTCAGCCTCCCAAAGTGTTGGGATTACAGGCATGAGCCACCATGCCCTGTCTGGCTTTTTGAGTTGCCAGAGTTCTTGCACTGGTTCTTTCCCATCTCTATGTGCTGCTATTCCTTTTATTTTTTAAGGTGCTATCCTTTGGATGGCTTTTTTTTTTTTTTTTGCCTTTTTCTTCTTTGATGCCCTTGGAGGTTTGATTGTGGTATAAAGTGGGTTGACTGGTTTTGCTTCTGGAACATGTTAGGGGACCAAAGCACACCTCAGCACTCCTGGGCTGTGTACTCTAACTCTGGGGCTGGTAACAGGTCCCCAGCTCTGTTTTCTGGCCCCTGGTGGTTGGGAACTTGTTGTGATGGAGGGCCTGAGGAGTTCTCAGTCTGCTGACCACAGCACTTCAGTGGATGGTGTTGGCCAAAGCACTTCATCTTGGCAGTGACAGCAGAACCCATGCTCACTTGTGTGTCTCAGCAGTCACAATGGCACAGAATGTACACTCTGTTATTTTTTGGTGGAGAGTTCTGTAGATATCTGTTAGTTCCATTTGGTCAAGTGTCTAGTTCAGGTCCTGAATATTTTGGTTGGTCCTCAACAGTGGCATGTTGGGGTGCATGTGCATTGGCTTTGGTGGGGCACCAATGGGAGTGGGGTGGAAGCATTCTTGCACATGATTGCAGTGGTGGCATAGCAGGGGTAGTTTGCTGGCAGAGACAGTGTTGCCAGCATTCATGCCCGTCCTGGTGGCATGGTGGGGTGCCTGCATGTTAGTAGGGGTGGGACTGAGAGTTGTGCTCCCACTGACAGTGGTGAGATGGCAGGATGCATACACACATGTGCACTGAAGAGTAGGAGAGGTGAAGTCTAGAAACAGACACTTCAAGAGAGAGGCAAAGAAAATAGGAATTTATGCTAAATGGGGTGGTCAAATATACATATTTAATAAGCTATAGGAGGACTCATGAATATTTATGAAAGGAGAAACATGTGCATGAGGAATTGAGTGTTATGACCCTTCATGGGTCCCTGGACAAAGAAATGGTGTGTTAGTATGATTTGAGTGTGAAATTTCTGGCACTTCAGTGTAAAAAGGTGAAGCAGAGGACATAAAAATCCTCACTGCACATTCACATAGACTGGCCAGAACCCCACTCTGTGGTCATTCTGCAAATAAAAGGAGGGGGCAACATCAAGTGTCTGGTTGACATGAGTGGTAGTGGAGTCCTCTGAAATGGCTGGTTTTCTTTTAGCCTTTAGGGAAGAAAGCCTAATGGGAGTTAGCGAGAGAGGAGTATAATGAGGCATGTCCAATCTCCTATCCTGCCATGCCTGAGAACTCTGTTTTCAAGGTTTCTCTGGTGTCTCCTTGGTCAGGAGAAGGTATGCTCAGTTGGTTGGGGGCTTTTTGTTTCTCACACATGTGAGTGAGAACATATGGTGTTTAATTTTCTGTTCCTGACTTCTTTCACTTAACAATGTCCTTCATTTCCATCTACTTTGCCACAAATGACAGGATTGTATTGTTTTTATGGTTGAATTGTATTCCATTGTGTATATTACCACATTTTAAAAATTCATTTATCTGTTGTTGGGAACCTAGGTTGATTCCAAATCTTACTATTGTGAATAGTGCTGCAACAGACATCAGGGTGCAGATGTCTCTTCAATATCCTTGACTTTGAATAAATGCCCAGTATTGGGATTGCTGGATCATATGGTAGTTCTACTTGTAGTTTTTGAAGAAACTTTATACTGTTCACCATAGAGGCTGTACAAGTTTACATTCTCACCAAGAGTGTATAAGTGTTTCATTTTATCTGCATCCTCACCAGCATTTTTTTTTTGTCTCTTTGATAATACCCACCCTAACCAGATGAGATGATACTTCACTGGTCTTTGAAAATATTTAACAGTTTAAAAGTGCAGGCAATAAAAGCAAAATAAACAAATGGAATTATATTAGACTAAAAAGCTCCTGTACAACAAAGTAAACAATCAACAGAGAGCAAAGACAGCCTACAGAATGGGAGAAAATATTTGTCAACTATTCGTCAGACAGGGGATTAATATTCAGAATATACAAGGAATCAAACATTTATATGGCAAAAAAAATCTAATTTAAAAATGGGCAAATTATCTGAACTGATGTTTCTCAAAACAAGACCTACAAATAGTCAGCAAATATATAAAAATATGCTCAACATCACTAATCATCAGGAAAATACAAATCAAAACTACAAAAAATTCACTCTCTCAATTGCTTTCCCTGACTCTAACAATATTAGTGCCCTCAAATTAGTTCTCGACTCTTATATCCAAACGACCTTTAAAAAATGCAAATCTGATAATGCCATTCTCTAGCATCAGATACTTAGGCACTTAGATAATTAATGCCATTCCCTTGCTTCAGCTTCATTAAGAAAAAAATTCAGAGTGGAGGGAGAAGGTATCAACTAAAATTATACAAATATAAAATGTATTAATTTCATTACCAGTCATGAATAAGTACAGTACTAGAAAAGAAATAAGCCTATATTATACAGAAACATTGATGTAAAAAAATTCCAGATAAGCGTTAGATAATGAATGAATTCTAGATAAGTATTAGATAATAAAAATTCCAGATAAGTGTTAGGTAAAGAACACAGATATGATTTAATACAACCTATTAATATAATTAATTACATTAAAAAACTAAAGAAGCTAATTATTATGTCAATAAATGTAAAAGGCATTTCTTAGTGTTCAATACATATTTATATTAAACATATTGGAAAATAATAGAATAAAAATAAACTTCCATAAAATAATATTTTTATTTTTGCTTTTTACTAGAATCTACAATAAAAATTACAGTTTATGCTATAACTTGAGACACATTTGTTTAGGAATAAGGAAAAAGGTACCTATAACCAAAGTTCCTCTCTTATGTAATACCATATTGGAATGCTTTGTCAATAATAAGATAATAGCCTAAAAAGAGAGATATAGTATGAGTTTTGAAGGGAAATATATAATTATCATTTGTAGCTGATATATATTTGTAGCTGATAATGAAGGAAAATAAACAGATACAGTATTTTTACTAATAAGAGAGTTAGCAAGGTTGCAGAATATATGATCAATGTACCAACACAATAACAGCCGTTTGTTACAGAAATAACTAATTGTAACAAAAAATAGTTTTATAGTTTTAGGTTTTATTTCCAGCTATAAATCAAATTATAAATTTTGATGAAGTTAAACTTAATTTGGTTTTATATGATGTGAGTATTGCATGAAGTTAGAGTAAGTGCTCACTTATTTCTACAAGGATAGTCAGGTAACTCAATACCATTTGTCAAAAGACTTTCTTACCCCATTGCATTGCCTTGGCACCTATTTGTAGATTTTACATCTATCTATCTATCTATCTATCTATCTATCAATCATCTATCATCTATTTTCTCCAATAACAGAGTGTCTTGATTCCTGTATCTTTATACTAAGTCTCCAAGTGAGGTGGGATAAATTCTCTTAACTTTTCCTTTATTTTGGGAACAGCTTTGGTTATTTTCTAGGTGCTTTGCATTTTCACATACATTTCAGAGTATACTTGGCAATTTCTACCAAAAAAATAGTAAACTGCTATAATATTTACTGACATTTGGAACTACAACTCAATTAGGAAAGAATTGACAGCTTTATTTTTACTTTTATTTTACTTTTTTGGATGGAGTCTCACTCTGTCGCCAGGCTGGAGTGCAGTGGCACGGTCTCGACTCACTGCAACATCTGCCGCCCAGGTTCAAGTGATTCTCCTGCCTCAGCCTCCTGAGTAGCTGGGACGCTGAGTAGCATGCCACCACACCCAGCTAATTTTTGTATTTTTAGTAGAGATGGGGTTTCACCATGTTGGCCAGGATGGTCTCTGTCTCTTGACCTTGTGATCTGCCCTAATCAGCCTCCCAAAGTGCTGGGAATACAGGCATGAGCCACCATGCCCAGCCAAGAATTGACATCCTAAGGGAATACTGAGTCTTCCAATCATGAATATGGTATATCTTCACAATTGCTTAGGTCTTTTAAAAAATTTCTTTAATAACATTTGTGTAAAGTTCATTAATGCTTTTTCTTAAACTTAGTTCTAATTGTTTTTGTTGTTGTTGTTTCTAGGCTTTACTGTAAATTAAAGTGTTTTCCTCTCTTTATTTCCGAATTTTTTGAATCTAATGTAAAATAATATAGCTGATTTTTGTATAGCAATCTTGTATTATCTAATCTTGCTTTTTCTAAATCTATTGCAATTATCATGTAACTTTTATTATTGTTGTTTGATATTATAAACTTCATTGTGTGGTTTTCAAATGTTTAAAACTTTAAGTCCTTTAAATAATTGCTGCTTGGTTGTGATATACCATTCTTTTTATATACATTGAGTTTAGATTTGCTAATATTTTGTAAATATATTCATTCATATTCATAAGTGAAATTGATCTGTGCTTTTCACTTTTGCATCATGTTTGTAAGGTTTTCATATTAGGGTTATGTTGCCCTCAAAAAGCATGTTAAGAAATTGGACAACTTAAATGAAATATACAGTGACCATTCCTCCACAACTTGCTAAAATAGTTAGTATAAGTTTGGTATTTTTTGTTTCTTCAATACTTGATAGAATTAATCAGTAAACTTCTTTAAGCCAGAAGGATTTTCCTATCTGTGATTTTTTTTCATGATAAATTCCATTAACTTCATAGATATAATGACTTTCAGAATCTATTTTTATTTCTTATGTCAATTTCAGTAAGTTATATTTTTCAGGAAATACACATATTTGATTGAACTTATAAAAATTATTGATGTAATATGGTTTAGTCTATTAAAATCATTTTAATGTCTATCAGACCTATATTTGAAATATTTTATCCCTGATATTGAGTTATTTGTGTTTCCTCCTTATTTTTCTTGATCAATTTAAGTAGCAGTTTGGTAATTAGCTGATCTTTTCAAAGAACCAGTTTTTGCACTGTTAATCTTCTAAAACATGTCTGTTTTATTATTTCATCAATTTATGTTTTTTAAAATTAGTCCCCCATCTTATTTACTTTTGGCCTACTTTGATCTCCATTTTATTTTCTTTTATCTTGAGACTGTTTATAGGAACGTATTTATAATTGTTATATCTTCCTGATGAATTGTCTTACTTTTTATTGTAAAAGATCTTTATTTATCTCTCTAGTAATACTCATGATATTGGAGTCTGCTTAATCCTTTATTTAAATGGATACACCAGTCCTCTGATGTGCACAATTTGTGTGGGTTTATCAGTTTTCTTCCATTATATTCAACCTTTCTGCATATTTATATTTAAAATTGGTTTCTTGTAAGCAGCATGCAGTAAGATCTTGCTTTTTTCCTTTCTAATCTATTCTGCCAATCTCTTGCTTTTAATTGAAGTATTTAGATGATTAACATCTGATGTAAAGATTGATGTGGTTCAATTTAAGTTCATCATTTTAGTCTTTATTTCCTGTTTGCTCCATCTGTTTTGTTGTTGCTCCAGTGTTTCTCTTTTACTGCCTTCTTTTGGCTTATTTGTATTTTTCTAATTATCCCTTTATAATTTGCCTATTTTCTTTTTGGCTTTCTTAAAAATATTATTATTATTATATATATTTTTTGAGATTGAGTCTCACTCTGTCACCCAGGCTGAAGTGCAATGGCACAATCTTGGCTCACTGCAACCTCCGCCTCCCAGGTTCAAGTGATTCTCCTGCATCAGCCTCCTGAGTAGCTGGGATTATGGCCATCCACCACCACCTGCAGCTAATTTTTGTATTTTTAATAGAGACAGGGTTTCACCATGTTGGTCAGGCTGGTCTCAAACTCCTGACCTCAGGTGATCAACCCACCTTTTCCTCCCAAAGTACTGGGGCTGCAGGTGTGAGCCACTGCACCTAACTGCTTTCTTTGAATTATTTCTTTTTTAAGAGGTAGCTCTGGAAATTGTAATCTTCATATTAAGCTTTTCACAGACTATTTAGAATTAATATTGTATCGCTTCACAGAAAAGATAGAAACCTTAAGAATGAATAAGTTCTTCTTCCCCATGAACTATTATGTTATAGTGCTTATATGCATTCAATGTATTTGTATTTTAAAAACTTACCAGCAAATATTAACTACATTTAAAATACATATTAATTTTGAAAACTTAAGAGAAAAAAATGTACTATTTTATGTGTTTCCACCTATTTCTATTGATCCTCGCTCTTTCCTGAATATCTGATTGGCCCTCTAGTATTAATTCTCTTCAGCCTGAAGAATTCCTTTAGCATTTTTGTAAATTGCTGCAAGTCTGCTGGCAATTGACTTCATATAAAAAATCTTCATTTTGCATTTACATATAAAGAATATTTTCATTAGTTATAGAATTTTATTTTCACATTTTTCCTTTAAAATCTTTTTTCACTGTTTTCTATCATTTAGTTTTTCTTATGTGACACCTGTAGTCATTTATACTAATGGATATGTTCTACCATGTGTCATGCATTGTGTCACTTTACTCTAGCTGCCTTCAGATGATTTTCTTTATTTCATATTTCTATTATTTTTATTAAGATATGTCTAGCCGGGCGTGGTGGCTCATGCCTGTAATCCCAGCACTTTGGGAGGCCGAGGCGGGTGGATCATCAGGTCAGGAGATTGAGACCATCCTGGCTAACATGGCAAAACCCCGTCTCTGCTAAAAATACAAAAAATTAGCCGGGTGTGGTGGCGGGTGCCTGTAGTCCCAGCTACTCCGGGGGCTGAGGCAGGAGAATGGCATGAACCTGGGAGGTGGAGTTTGCAGTGAGCCGAGATTGCGCCACTGCACTCCAGCAGCCTGGGTGGCAGAGCCAGACTCTGTCTAAAAAAAAAAAAAAAAAAAAAAAAGATACGTCTAAAAGTGATTTTTACAAATTTATTGTTTTTTGTTCACTGACATTTATAGTACACACCACTGTGCAATAAAATACACATTCTTCTCAAGTATACATTTAACATTAACCAAGACATACTATTTTTGGAGAAACTTTAAAAAATTTAAAAGACTAGAAATCATGCAATGTATGTGTTGTCATGATAATATGTTTAAGTTAAAAAACAGTAATAGAGGCCAGGCATGGTGGCTCACACTTGTAATCCCAGCACTTTGGGAGGCTGAGGCAAGCGGATCATGAGGTTAGGAGATTGAGACCATCCTGGCTAACACAGTGAAACCCTGTCTCTACTAAAAATACCAAAAAAAAAAAAAAGAAATTAGTGGGTGTAGTGGCACACATCTGTAGTCCTAGGTAATTGGGAAGCTGAGGCAGGAGAATTGCTTGAACCTGGAAGGTGGAGGTTGCAGTGAGCCGAGATTGAGCCACTGCACTCCAGCCTGGGCAACAGAGACTCTGTCTCAAAAAAATATATATATCAGTAATAGGAAGATAACTGAAAAATCTCCAGTTTTTTGAAAACTAGCAAAAGTATTCTAAGTAACTCATGAGTCAAGCGAAATTCTCAAGATAAATTTGCAAATATTTTGGAGTGAATGAAAATGAAAATGCAACAGATCCAAATGTGTAGAATTATTCTAAAGCATTGTTTAGAGATTTCTTTTGGTCTCAAATGCATATAGCAGAAAAAAACCTGTGTCAAATCAATAAATAAAATTTTCACCTTAAGAAACTAGGGAAAGGATAGAGGATTAAATTCAAAATTACTAGAAATAAGAAATAGGCCAGGTGCAGTGGCTCGTGCCTGTAATCCCAGTACTTTGGGAGGCCGAGACTGGAGGATCACCTGAGGTCAGGAGTTCAAGACCAGGCTGGTCAACATGGTGAAACACCATCTCTACTAAAAATACAAAAATTAATTAGGCGTGGTGGTGGTCACCTGTAATCCCAGCTACTTGGGTCACTGAAGCAGGAGAATCACTTGAACCCAGGAGGTGGAAGTTGCAATGAGACGAGACTGTGCCATTGCACTCCAGCCTGGGTGACAAGAGTGAGACTCCACATCAATAAATAAATAAATAAATAAAAACAACAAAGAAATTAAAACTTGAGATGAAAATAATTAAATTGGAACAAAGAATTGAAAAAATCAGTGAAATGGAAAGATAGTTTTTTGTTAAAACATCTATAAAACTGAAGAAACTCTAGCCAAACTGAGCAAGTAGACAAGGAGTTAAGACAATAACCAATATCAAAAATAAAGAGGGGCCACCACTATGGGCCACACAGCCATTAAAAGTATACTAAGGTGTGCTAATTTTCTAATGCAATAAATTACCACAAACTTACTAGCTTAAAGCAGTAGATATTGATTCCTATGGTTCTAGAGATCAGAAGCCCTCAAACCAAGATATCAGCTAGATTGAATTCCTTCTGAGGACTCTAGCAGAGAATTTGTGTCCTTGCCTTTTCTAGTTTCTAGTGGCTGCCTGCATTCTTTTGACCCCTGCTTCCATTTTTATATTGCCTTATCTTTTATTTCTGTTACCACATCATGTTCCCTGATTCTGACTCTACTACCTTCTTTCTCTTATGACAACCCTTATGATTAAGTTGGGTTCCCCTGGATAATTCAGGATAACCATCTCATCTCAAAATTCTTAGTTAAATTACTTTGGTATGGTCAATTTTGCCATATAAGGTTGCATATTCACAGGTTCTGGAAATTAAGATGTGGAAATCTTCAGGGGGTAGACATTATTCTGCCTGTCATATAAAGAACTCTTCAAAAAGCTCTATGCGTATAAATTCCACAAATAGTTGAAGTGAACTAATTCCAAAAAAGCACAAATTATGAAAACTCACTTAGACAACAGACAAGCTGAATAGTCCTGTATCTACTAAAAATTGGATTTGTAGTAAAAATATTTCAATCAAAGAAATCTTCAATGGTGAAAAATTTCAAACACTTTAGGGAGAATTACAGCACAGTTACAAACAGCAACTTTCAGAAAAAATGAAACAATACTTCCAAATAAACTTTATAAGGCTAGCATTACATAAATATCAAAATCAACACAGAAATTACAATACTAGAAAACTATAGAGCAATAATATTTATGAACATAAACTCAAAAATCTTTAGCAAAATGCTAATACATTTATTCTATCAACATATAAAAATAATTTTGAACAACAGTTTTCCCCATGAATGTAATTCAACTTATCATCCAAAAATGATATGTCAATCTCAAAAGATGTGGAAGCATTTGACAAACTTTAACGTTAATTCATGGTAAAAATTCTCAGCAAACTAGGAATACAGTGGAACTTCTTTTTATCTAATAGAGGGTATCAATAAAATGCCTTTAGCTGTGATGTTACTTAATAGTAAAAGACTGAATGCTTGCTTATTCTCTAAGACTGGGAACAAAGTTCATATTCAGCATTGTATTTTAAGTTTTAACCAGTGTAATAACACAAGAAAAAGAAAATGAATCAAAGGAAGAAATAATGGTTTCAACTCACAGGTGATATTATTATATGCATAGAAAACCCAAACAACTCATAAAAACTTCTAAGAAGTTATACATGAGTTTTCCAAGGCTGCAGAGTGCAAGGTAATATACAAAAAATAATTATATTTTTATACACTAGCAATGAAGCAAATTATTTCAAATTATAAAATTAATAGCATATATAAAATCTCCTAAAACTAAAATACTTAGATATAAATAAAAGTTTTCATGATATATACACTGAAAACTAGAACACACCAATTAAAAAAAGCCTAAATACTGTATGGAGAAGTACAGCATTTTAATAGATTCTAAGATTTTATATTGTCACATTCAATATAATGCTAGTAAAAAATCTCATTAGGCTTTTTACTCACAATAAACTTTTAAAAGACTTACCCTAAAGCTCTACTACTAAAGGAAATATTGGCCGGGCACAGTGGCTCATGCCTGTAATCCCAGCACTTTGGGAGGCTGAGGCAGGCAGATCATCTGAGGTCGGGAGTTTGAGACTAGGCTGACCAACATGGAGAAATCTCGTCTCTACTAAAAAAATACAAAAAAATTAGCCAGGCATGGTGGCACATGCCTGTAATCCCAGCTACTTGGGAGGCTGAGGCAGGAGAATCACTAGAACCTGGGAAGCAGAGGTTATGGTGAGCCAAGATCATTCCATTGCATTCCAGCCAGGGCAACAAGAGCAAAACTCCATCTCAAAAAAAAAAAAAAAAAAAAAGAAAGCAAGAAAATATTGAGTTTTGGATTAATCTTTTCTTCCACAGTGTATTTGCCTTTGTCTGCAATAGACTTGAAGGTACTATCAACCAAAAACTTATTCTAAATTATGTTTCTCCTTGAAGTTTCAGGTCATAAATCCAGGTGGTTGTTAACCCCGAATCTAAAATGTAAATTTGTGGTTGAAAAGTTTCATGATTTTTTTTTAATTCTCCCAAAGTCAAAATTGGAGCATGCATGTATCCCCAGTTACTACTTAGCTCCACTCACTGAGGATTTTGTAATTTTGAAGTCTTAGCTCCATTTAGACATCTCAATCCAAACTTTAATTCTGCTTACAAATTTGGCTTTGTTATCTGAGTCTTTTATGTTGACCCTTTGGTAAATCCCAGCCTCCAGACAGCCAGGGATCAGTAGATCTATACAATATAAATGCTATTTTTAGAACTACTTTATCTTTATAAGTTCACAATTTTAAAAATTGTCTCCGTAAAATTATATTAATTTTGCATCATATCAACTTTAAATACATATATGCCAACAGTTATGAATATGATCTAGAAGTTTCACAAAATTTTCATTTCACTATGTTGTGAGAAATGGCAGTCCATACCTTTCCTTTTAAGGAAATCTAAAAATTTCTCTAATGCATATGATACAAAGGTAGAGGGGTATATATGTATGTGTGTGTGTGTGTGTGTGTGTGTCTGTGTGGTGTGTGTATAATAAGCAATAGTTTCTTCCTTTAATAATCTTTTACTCTAAAACACAAGTAAATTTAATTACTTTTGACTTGGGACACGGATTTTATATTCTGTAATTTTCTCGTTTTTGATGGCTAAATATTAAAGATGATAGAATAATTTTATTATTGCTCATCAAATCAGAGTTGCTTTTTATTCTACAAATGTACTTCTTCAAATATACGTTTATTCTTCAAATATTGGAGTGAAATTATCACTTTTATAAATTGAAGAAATTGATATGTTAAATTATCTCTTCCCCAAATAAAGTTTATTTTAAAAAGATTTTGTACTTGCTGGAAAGTACATAATTATTATTTTGGAAAATTACGTTATGTAATGCTTATGAACAATAAAGGATGTTTTTATTCATTCAAGTAGTAGGGAAAAAATGAATGTGTCATTTGAATACAAAGTGTCATTTTATCAAATATAAATGTGTGAAATTCTTAACATTTTGTTTTATTCTTTGATGGTATGCATTTCCATTTTAGAAAAAGAATTAGTACAATGTAATTATAGCATAAAAAGAAATGTTGCTCCTTATTAGGCATTCGTATCAGATAAAGGATGTCTTAGGAGTGGTAATATAGTTTGAGAGGAGCTACAGATTATACACGAAACTTGCCTTGAAATTTCATTCCCATATCACCCATATTTTATTTACTTGCAATGTACATTTTATCTGGGCAAGTTATAGACTAAGTCAGTCAAAGAGGTTCTATATAATCCAGTCAATACAATCAGAGAAAGTATGTTTCAACATGAAATAATGTCAAAATGTATTAAAATGGCACATAACATTCACAGATTGTTTGACAGATGTTTTAAATCTCAGGTTATTTACTTTCAAATATGAGAAATGTGTACAACATTTTTAAAGAAGATGCTATTTATAGTGTGCTAAATGATACCTCTTTGCTCTTGCACACTTTCAAGTTTTGTAAAGTACTCAAGCTTGGTAAAACATTCAAATGAGTCTTTGCTTTTGGTTCAGAGCTTTGGAGAAATGGCAGTTCCTCATCTCTGCCAACCTCATCCACTACTTCTTTTCTCTTTGGTTATTATTATTTTTAATCATTCAGAATCCACCAGTTTGCTTCAGATATTTCCTGGCTACATCTTCTCTTGTTTCTTCACTGGATCATCTTTTCAACCTTCTGTGGCAATAGGGACATTCTTGAAATGCTCATTCATTTTTCTAATTATCATATCCCTCAATGTTTCTCATATCACATTTTTAGGATGCCCCCCATACTTATATATCTAATGCCATCAATAAAATTCACCTAGTAAGATTAGCATCTTCTTAGAAGATTCATCTTTCTTTCCAAATTTTTTCCACTTACTTATTTCCTAATCTTTGTTCATTATATCCATATTCTCCAAAGGCCTGAAATTTCAAATTCATGTTTAATGTTACTCTTTTCTTTATATTGTTCACTTTCCCCATTGAATCAGTTATAAAGATATGCTGGTTTTCTCTGAAGAAAGTCACAGGCTTCTTTATCAGCCATTTCCACTGCTCCATCCAAATCCAAGTCTCAGAATCCTTCTTTCCTTTAAGTATCATCACTGTGCAATCCATCTTAAACCTATTGCTAGCATTATCTTTCTAAAACAGTTTTGAACATATCACTTCTCTGTTTAAACATTTTCCTATATTATAATGCCCTGGTACCATTGTATGTTACTAGAGATCTTTTATTTACCAAAATTATCTTCTATTGTTGGCCTTAGAAACACAATACCCTTGAACCAAATTCTACCTCTGCTGTGTTCCTTTTGTTCCTCTACCACTCTATCTCAATGCCTTTGTCACTCACTCTGCCTGAAATATACACTTACAGTTGTTCTCTCACTTCCACTTGTTGAAAAATTTATTACCATTTAAGGACAAATACAATGTCACCATTTCCATGAACCTGTTCTGAATGTATTAATCAGTAGCAATATCACCTGTTGTTTACTAAGCCTAAACAATATTTGATAGTATAATGATATTGAACCTATATTATTTCCTCATTAACTCTAAATTCCATACTTTGGGAGCCATTTATACTGCACTTAGGAAAGTAGTGTGAATGCAGAAGATGGTCAAAGATTAAGTAAAGCAAGTATCTTTTAGGAAGGAATCCTTGCTTATGGACAGTTATTGTAATTATTTCTAAACTGTATGATTTTGTCCCTTTTGTGAAATTGTTGATTATTTTCAGATGCTTTTTAGCAAAAGAGAGACATAAAATTGCCTTACTGAGACACCTTGTAAAGAAAAATTTAAACTAACAAAGACGATCAGTGTTGTTTCTCCACATTTGACTTTCCACCTCTCCTGTTCTTTCTTTTTACATTGGCATGGCTAAATATTAAATGCTAGTACTTAGTAGCATAGTACAGGTGCTCAAACATTGGCCTTATAAACTGGTTCCCTATGTTCCTGTTTCAGCTTGGCTACTAAAAAGCTATATGACCTGGAGCAGTCACCTTGCCCATTCCTATTTGTCCTATCTTTAAAATGAGGAATTGGACTTTATTATCTCTTGATTACTTTCAATATCAAAATCCTACAATTATTTTTAGTGATAAAATCCAGATTTAAATTTCTATTTTACACCAAATTTCTCAGGAGTTCACCTAAAATGACATCAAAAAACACCACAATGGATCGAGTTCAAAAATCTCCTGTATCAGGCCAAAAAAGAGAGTGATTTATCATAGTCACAGTGAAAGCTGCAACCCTTTTCCAGTTGGGTGAAAGCCACCAAATAACTGATCTTGCTC
Source organism: Homo sapiens (assembly GCF_000001405.40). NCBI lineage: Eukaryota > Metazoa > Chordata > Mammalia > Primates > Hominidae > Homo > Homo sapiens. The sequence continues at coordinate 140,575 of NW_013171806.1, read as the reverse complement.
AGCCGTGGCCACTGCTGACTCAGGCCTTAATACAGCTAGCAAGTATCAATGTACATATAAGTTATGATTTAGATCTACTACAACTATTAAATGCCTTTGAAAGTGATGACTAGGAGCCACTTCAAGAGGCCAATGCAATTCATTCCTGGAAGAGCTTACAGAGCAAAACTTAATATCCTTTACTTTCAGTCCCCATTGCAACTGAATTTCAAATCTATGTATAATTAAACCAAATCTTTGATTTTTCTTATAACAATAAACTACATAAGGATTTACCTAGTGCTGTTCATTCTAAAGTCAGAAAGTCTTTATGGAAAAATCATTTGTATATCCATTACAAGCTCTCCAAACTTCCTAATAAAAGGTTGCACACACTTTGCTGTAAGATGCCAGGTTTTGGGAAGTGTGAAACATATTCTGACAGTTTAATTGAAATAGCTATTGAGCATGAAGGCAAAACACCTGTTGAGAAGGGAAATAAACAACAGCAAAAATCCCTGCTGAATTTTTCAGACAAAGTAGAGAAAATCAGAAGGACTCTTTATTCAGTGATAATAAATTCATGAATCAAGTGGGACAATTGTTATCAGAATTTAGGTATCAATCATTACTGTTGATCTACCGTCCTTTATTGAGCCTTCAGTTGCTTCCTTTGCCTGACTTATTAAAGTGGTATGAGAATGCAACAAAATAGTAGAATATAAAGCTTACATACCTAGAAACACTAGTCATTAAATATCAACTGTTCTTTGAGAGACATATAGAAATCAGAATATTTCAAATAAGAATCTGAATTTTGCATTTCTTTAGAAAAACTACGTGGGGGGCAAGGCAGGAATTCTTGTGTTTCCTTTAGCCTGAATGGCAAAACCATGCTGGAGTTGAGTTACTGGTTTAACACTTTAGCGTATATTTTGCATTATGCCTACTGCCTTCATCATTTTACCACTGGACATTTACACATTTGTTTATGTGATGTTCAAAATAGCTATTACCAGCCATTTTATTTATTTAAAAGTTTATCAGTCTACATATATTTTAAAACATGTTAGAATAAAACCACGTATCCTCATGCCACCTTTTAAATCCTCATAGTTGGTCAAGCTAGAGATTTTTACTATAAGGTACTAATTTCATACTATTTTTAAATTTCAGGAGCCCTTATATTTTCTAGATATAAAAAGCACATATGTGAGGCAGTAACACATATATTGAAATTAATGTTAGTAAACCACAATCAAATAAAAAAGTTCAAAACTATAGACTAGAAGGTGTATATCTTTCACATAGATCTTGAATATAACAGTCAGCTTTGATTTTACATGAAAATATTAAAGAGATAATCATGGCAAATTACTTCAATGTGCTTGACATGTATATCCTGCCCTACTTTCTAATCTAATTAATTATATCACACTCAACTGTTGAAATAGAAGTAAATGGTGAAACATAAGGATCTTCCTGGAGTGTGAACAAAAAAGGACAAGATTAAAAAAAAATCCCTCCTTCTGAATTTTCTTTCTTATTTTTGTTTATAATTGACACAATAATTGTACATGTTTGGGGGTATACTGTGATGTTTCAATAGATATATGCATTGTTTAATGATCATATCAGGATAATTAACATACCCATTACCACAGCATTATCATTTCTTTGTGGTGATAACATTCAAGATCTTCTTCTCTAGCTATATTGAAATATATAATACACTATTTTTAGCTGTAGTCACTCTGCTATGTAATAGAACACCAGAATTTATTCTTCCTATCTAACTGTAACTGTGGTCTCATAGAAATAAAGAGTAGAACAGCAGTTACCAGAGGTTGAGGAGAGAAAAGGGGATGGGGGATGGAAAGAGGTTGGTCAATGAGTAAAATTACTTTAGATTCCACATATGAGTGAGCTCATGCAATATTTGTTTTTCTGTACCTGGTTGATTTCACTTAACAGAATGTCCTGCAGGTTTATCCACGTTGTCACAAATGACAGAAGGTCATTCTTTTTGTAGCTGTATAGTATTCCACTGTGTATGTTTATCATGTTTTCTTGATCTATTTGTCCATTGATGGATATTTAGGTCAATTTTATCACTTACATAATGTGAACAGTGCTGCAATAAACAACATAGAAATGCAGATATCTCATTGACTTCTCATTTTATTTCTCTGAATATATACCTCACAGTGAGACTGCTAAATCATTTAATAATTTTATTTTTAATTTTTTGAGAAACCTTCATACTGTTTTCCATGTCTGTACTAATTTACATTCCCACTAACAGTGTATGAGTGTTCCCCTTTTTCTTCATCCTCACCAGCATTTGTTATTTTTTGTCTTTTTGATAATAGCCATTCTAACAGGTATGAGGTAATATCTCGCTGTGGTCTTGATTTGTATTTCCATGATGATTGGTGATGCTAATCATTATTTGTCAAATATCTACTGGCCATTTGCATGTCTTTATTAGGTTGAGTTATATTCCTGCTATACCTAATTGATTGAAAGTTTTTATCATGATGGGATGTTGAATTTATGAAATGCTATTTCTGCATCTATTGTAATGGTCATATGTTTTTTGTACCTGATTGTGTTAACGTACCACATTTATTGATTTGCATATTATAAACCATCTGATATAGGTTGGATATTTGTCCCCCCAATCTCATATTAAAATGTAATTCCTAATGTTGGAGGTGGGGCCTGGTGAAAGGTGATTAGATCATAGATGTGGATTCCTCATTGACTGGTGCTATCCTTGTAATTGTGAATGAGTTCTCATGAGATTTGGTTGTTTCCAAGTGTGTGGCACCTCCCACTCACTCTCTTGTTCTTGCTTTCACCATGTGATGTGTCTGTTCCCACTTCGTCTACCACCATGAGTAAATATTCCCTGAGGCTTCCCCAGAAGCTGAGCAGATGTTGGAACCAGGCTTATACACCCTGTAGGGCCAATTAAATCTTTTTTAAAAAATAAATTACGCAGTCTCAGGTGTTGGTTTGTAGCAACGCAAGAAGAGCCTAACACATCATCCTCAAATTCCTATGATGAATCACACTTGATCATAGTAAGTGATCTTTTAATGTGTTGATGGATTCAGTTTGCTAGCATTTTGCTCAGGATTTTTGCCTCTATGTTTCAGAGATACTAACCTGTAGTTTTCTTTTATTGTTGTGTCATTATCTGGTTTTGGTGTCAAGGTAATGCTTGCCTGATAGCCTGAGTTAGACATATTCCTTCTTCTTCAATTTAACATAGTAGTTTTAGAAGAATTAGTATTAGTTATTTGATAGTTTGGTAGAATTCAGCAGTGAATTTGTCAGATCCTAGGCTTCTCTTTGATGGGAGAATTTTTTTTTATTACTGATTCAATCTTGTTACTCTTTATTTGTTCAGGTTTTCTATTTCTTCATAATTCAGTCTGGATTCATTTTTTCTAGCTTTCAAATTTCTTGATTTATAGTTGTTCATAAAATCTCTTATGATCTTTGTATTTCTGTTGACAAATTCTGTGTAATATATCTTTTTTCTTCTCTGATTTTAGTTATTTGACTCTTTTCTCTTTTGTTCTTAGTGTAGCTAATTTCTTTTGATTTTCAAACAAATTGTTTTTCTTTGATGGATTTTTTTGTATTGTTTTAAAATCTCTGTTTTTTTTTTGTTTCTGCTGTGATCTTTGTTATTTCTTTTCTTCTACTAATTTTGCATTTGGCTTTTTAGAAATTTTCTAGTTCCTTGAAGTGCACCAGATGGTTTTTAATTGGATATCTTTTTACTTTTTTGATGTAGGAATTTATTGCTCTAGTGTTTCCTCTTTGACATACTTCTGCTATATCCCATAGGCTTTCATTTTCTATCTCCAGAAATTTTCAGAAATTTCTTTTCTTAATGGGGATACAAGAGCGTGCTGTTTAATTTCCATGTATTTGTAAAGCTTCCACCATTCCTTCTGTTATTGATTTCTAGTTTTATTGATTTCTGGTATTATTTCATTGTGTTTAGAAAAAGTACTTGATGTGATTTTTATTTTTGAAAATTTTGTAAGACTTGTGTTATGACTCAGCATAGTCTATTCTAAAAACTGTTCCATGTGCACTTGAAAAGAAAGTGTATTTTGTAGTTGTTGGATAGAATGTTTTGTAAATATCTGTTAGGTTCATTTTATCTACAGTGCAGTTGAACTCTGATGTTTCTTTGTTGATTTTTCTCTCTGGATCATCCATCCATTGCTGAAAAGGGGAGTGATAAAGTTTTCCACCATTATTGTCCTGCTGTCAATCTCTTCCTCTAGGTTAGTATTCGCTTTATATATTTAGGTGCTTCAGTGCTGAGTGCATGTATATGTACAAATGTTATAACAGCTTTGTCATTACATAATAATCTTCTTTGTATTTATTTTACAGTACTTGACTTGAAGGTTATTTATGTAAGTATAGCTATTCCTGCTTTTTATGGGGTGCACATTTGTGTAGAATGTGTTTTTTCTTTTCTTCACTTTCAGTCCATTTGTATCTTCATAAATGGAGTGAGTTTCTGTAGGCAGCATATGGTGTGGGTGTGGGGGTGCTTTGTATGTCTGTGTGTGTGTTGTGTGTGTGCTTAATCCATTAAACAACCCTATGTATTTTAATCAGTGAATTCATTTATATTCAAGGTTATTATTTCTAGGTAAAGACTTTACTGTCATTTTGTCACTTTTTAAAACTGTTTTGGAGAGTCTTTCTTTTTTTTATTATGCTTTAAGTTTTAGGGTACATGTGCACAATGTGCAGGTCTGTTACATATGTATACATGTGCCATGTTGGTGTGCTGCACCCATTAACTCGTCATTTAACATTAGGTATATCTCCTAATTCTATCCCTCCCCCCTCCCCCCACCCCACAACAGGCCCTGATGTGTGTGGAATACTATGCAGCCTTAAAAAATGATGAGTTCATGTCCTTTGTAGGGACATGGATGAAGCTGGAAACCATCGTTCTCAGCAAACTATCTTTCTTTCATTTTTCTGTCTTTTTTGTGGTAAAGTGATTCTCTCTAGTATGCTTTGGTTCAGCACTTTTTATTTTTAGTGTATTTATCATAAGTTTTTACATTTTAAACCAGTCTTTTTCCAAATTTTGGATTTTGATATGTAAATTTTACTTCTTTTTACATGTTCTTTCTCTTAAACAATTGTTGTTATTATCATTAATTTTTTTTCTTTTAGATACTAAAAGATGAAAGCGATATTATATAAAGATGTAAGTGACACCTATGGTTCCAGCTACTTGGGAGGCTGATGTGGGTAATTCATTTGAGCCTGGGAAGCAAAGGTTACAGTGAGCTGAGATCACACCACTACACTCTGACCTGGGTGATAGAGTGAGATGCTGTCTCAAAAAAAAAAAAAAAGAAAAGAAAAAAAGATGTAAGTGATTTATATACACTTACAGTTTCTTATTTTTTTTTGGAGGGGAGGGGGCAGAGTCTCGCTCATTCACCTAGGGTAGAGTGCAGTGGCATGATCTCAGCTCACTGTAACCTCCGCCTCTTGGGTTCAAGCGATTCTCGTGTCTCAGCCTCCAAGTAGCTGGGACCATAGGTGCATGCCACCATGCCCAGCTAATTTTTGTATTTTTAGTAGAGATGGGGTTTCACGATGTTGGCCAGGCTGGTCTTGAACTCCTTACCTCAGGTGATACGCCCACCTCAATCTCCCAAAGTGTTGGGATTACAGGCATGAGCCACCACACCTGGCCCAATTAGTTTTTGAGTGCCCTGAATTTGTTTACTTACTATGACCAATGAGTTGTATACCTTAAGATGTTTTCTTTTTACATATTAGCATCCTTTTCTTTCAGATTAAAAAACTTCCTTTAGCATTTTAGTAGGTCTAGTGTTGATGAATCCCCTCAGCTTTGGTTTATCTGCAGACTTTATCTTTTCTTTATGTTTGAAGAATACCTTTGCTTGGTACAATATTCTTGGTTGGCAGGTTTTTATTCTCCTTCACTACTTTGAATATATCATATCATTTTCTCCTTTCCTGCAGGGTTTTTGCTGAGAATCTGATGAAAGCTGTATTAGGGCCCTGATTAATGTGATATGTCTCTTTTCTCTTCTTTTTTTCAGTATTCTTTCTTTGTCTTTGATTTTTTTTATCATAATTTGAAGGGTGTTGGGGAATTCCTTTTGAGTTAATTTGATTAGTAACTTCTATGTTTCTTGTAAGTGGATGTTGTTTTCTACATGTAGATTTAGGAGGTTTTTAGCTATGATTTCCTTAAATATGTGTTCTAGGTCTATTCTCCCTTTTCTCATTCGGAAACTCCTATTATGTGAAGGTTAGTTTACTTTAAATAGTGTCCCACAATTCCTGAAGGTCTTCTTCACCATATTTTTTCTTTTTTCTTTTTGCTCCTCTGATTAATTTCATACGTCTTCAAGCTGTTTCCTCTGATTATGTCTACTGTAAAAGCTTTCTATTGAGTTTTTTCAGTTCAGTTATTATATTCTTTATTTCTAGGATTTATTTGGGCTTTAAAAATGTTTCTTTATTTGTCAAATATCTCATTGTATTTATGGATTGTTTTCCAAATTTTAGTTAATTTTCTATTTATATTTTATTGTGATTCCCTGAAAATTTTAAAGTAGATTATTCTGAATTTGGAATTCAGACATTTTATAGATCAGTTCTTCTGTGTCCATTATAGAGCTTTGTTTATTTCTTTTGTTGGTGTCATATTTTCCTGATTTTTATTAATCCTTTTATCTTTATATTGATGCCTGTGAATTTGAGGAGATGGTCACCTCTTTCTGTTTTTGCAGGTGTTTTTTGTGGTCTTAGATCATTACAACTTAATATCAGAACTTAATTGCTGTCCAGCTTTTGACTCCTGAGTGGGGAGGACTTAGTGTGTATCAGAATTTAAATGCTGCACTGGAGTGAAATCACTGCTCTGCCATTGTTTGTTATTTGGAAAAGACTTATTGCGAGCACCAGAACTTACTAAATATTTCAGCTGCTTCTGGGTCAGGGGAAGGTGCCACATAAACACAAAAAAGGACTCAGGCATTTCCAGGGCTCATAACCTCTGCAGTGCTATGAGACTTGACAGTCTCCTCAGCATGGCATTCCTGCTGAGCAGAATGCAGAGCAGCTACCAAGATCCACAGGACAGTTGCTGCAATCAGCTCTCCTGATTTTATCTTCAGTTCACTCAGGTCATTCAGCCCTCCTGGAACTCTCAGTGTTTTCCATGGGATGAGACCCATGTAGACTTCCCATGAAGCCTCCTCAACTGATAGGGAAATTGAATGTTTATTTTCAACTTCGAATTTCTTCCAACTCAGACATCCTAAATGTATAGAAATTTTCTGTGAGCTGTTATGTGGCTTGGGGTAGTGGGTGGCAGATTCTAAAATCGTCATTTATCAGTCACAGCTTCTCTCATTTCTGCAGGCTCCATCAGTTCCTCTGCTTCTCTCTCAAGTTCTAGTAACTTCAGGGTAGTTTTATTGTCTTTGAATAGTTACTGCTTATACCTTTGTGGGGGAAGCAATGTTAAGTGTCTTCTAATCTGTTATCTTGCTGGACAGATTTTGTAAGTTGTGAATATAATGTACAGCTATCCATTAGAGAACTAGAAAAAATATATACTTCTTAGCTGACCAATTTTAATGATTTTGGCTGTACTATAACAAACTGTTTTGAAGTTTAAAGTCATGTATTATGACTGAACTGAATAATTCAAGTTTTTTATGGTTTATATTTATTTATTCAAAGTATCATTTTGTTCATGTATTGTCTTCTTGATTTTGTTGAGTTGTCTACCTGAGTTCACTTATAGCTCATTGAACTTCTTTAAGACTTACAGAGGGAGAAAAGTAGTTCAGAAAGTAGGAGAGTAGAAAGGATAATCCTGAGGGAAAAAAAAAGAAAAGAAGAAACTTTTGCAAATAAATTGATCCCATAGTGTAAGAGCAATCTTAGAAAATAGGGTTTGGTCTGAAACTATTTCTTGTTCTACCATAATTATTTATATATTACAGATGAGATAAAACATTATTGAACTTCTACACAGAAACCACCAGTGCTGATTTTTCTAGGCATTATAAAGAAAAACATACTTAGATGCTTCCTATGATCTTGTCATCTATTTCAGTCAATGTTAATATTGAAATCCTCATTTTCAATGTTCTCCCCAAAACACCTTTGATTTTATTTATGTTAGGCATGAATGAAAGAAAAAGGATATTCTGTTTATTGGAAATGGATCATGAATAAAAATGGTTTTCACAATCCTAAGGCTAGTTGTAGAGAAGAGAACTGAATTTGCAGTTTTGGCTGAACTAATTGGTCCCTTTACTCAATGGGAAATGTGGGCTACAAATGTCATGAGCTAAATAAGGCATATCTATGTTCTAATCCTATCTGTAACACTTACAACTTTGGAGAAGACAGTAATCTTTCTCAACCTGCATTTTTTAATTGATACAAGGAAAGTAATAACATTTTCAGTTGCCTGAAGTTGTTATAAATATTTGTTGAGATAAATGTAAAATATATAGAGAGCTTAAGGTATAAATTGCATTAAATATATTTTTATTTTTAATGATGGCATGATTAATGATTTTAATAAATTGAATTTTAATTATTAAAATGCAAAAAATGCAGAAAAGAACAATAATTCTTCAAACTCTTACTGTTCAGAATAAATAATTTCTTAAAATCTTGCTGTATTTCCTTTGGATTTTATCATTATGTATTTACTAAAAGTGATATATGATTATTATATAGTTCGAATAAGAGAGAAAAATATATAATAAAATAAAAACAATTTATTTCACAGCATAAAAATTATCATTTACTTTAGATTAACCTTATTACTACTAGAGATAGACATGAAAGATTATATGATTGGAAGGAAGGTAGTCAAGTTTAAAATCCAGGTCAGCTAACATCTGAGCCTGGAGTTCCTCTTTAAAGAACATTTATTCTCAACTTATGATTTATGAGGAAATTTGATACTATGTTTCCAAGTTGTGATTTTTATTTGTACATCACACTATAATATAGCTATCAGTAACACTGATGTCAATCATCGCCTTTGGTTTTATAGCCCATTATTTTCAATTACTTGTGTAGTTTTATTTTATGTCTTAATAAAAGAATTTTTACATCTTTAAATTACTATTTTCTTCTTATAGCCAATAAGTCTTATACTCTAAAAATTTAAAAACTTTCTGAACCAGTTGATTATAATCATCCACTATAAATATTAATCACCAGGCCAAGAATATGTCTTAGTTTATACTGTATTTAGTGCTATGCATGATATCTTTGTTTTTTTTGAGATGGAGTCTCACTCTGTCACCCAGGCTGGAGTGCAGTGGCACGATCTTGGCTCACCACAACCTCTGCCTCCTGGGTTCAAGCAATTCTCCTGCCTCAGGCTCCCTTGCAGTTGGGATTACAGTTGCCCGTCACCATGCCCGGCTAATTTTTGTATTTTAGTAGAGATGAGGTTTCACCATGTTGGCCAAGCTGGTCTCGAACTCCTGACTTTAGGTGATCCACCCTCCTTGGACTCCCAAAGCGCTGGGATTACAGGCGTGAGCCACCGCACCCAGCCGCATGATATGTTTTCAACATTATATATGAAAGAGAAAAAACACATTTACCAAAATCATATGTTGTAATAAATATTCTTGCTTTGTTTTGGTTTTCTGAAACCTGTGGAAATACCTTAAAAATTTCTAGAGGTTTTGGAATCTGTGTTATCCCTTTTGGCAGAAGTGTCACAATCTCATAATTTACTATGAAACTGACCATGGGTTTTCTGCAGTTGCCATGTTCTGAGCAGAAACGAGAGAGGAAATTGTTTTGTTTAGGCAGTTTTATAAACTTATCATCACAGCTGAACTAATCTGATCAAAACTCATGGTTCAAACTCTATATATATATCATGCAGTAGTTGTTGGATTATATATATAAATATATATATATAAATCTCCTTGATTATCCTATGTCCTTAATCATACTGTAAGTTTTAGAAATGTAAGAAATTTAAAGCAGACCAATTAATTTCTCTCACTGTACATTTAAGCCAACAAGGGCCCAAAGAAACACATTCCATAAGAGTAAGGGACACAGCTAGTTAGTGGCAGAACTGGGCTGAAAACCAGAAGGGTATCTTGACATCTAACCAAGCCCTCTTTCTTTTCTTGCTGTTGTTTTACTGACCACATTTCTCATTTTCTTTCCTGTTCTTTAGACCCAGGCAGAACTTCTCTTAATTAACATTGATAGATTGACCACTGGAACTGTGCTGGGTGCTATTTTCTCATGTAGCTCTATTTCATGAGGTTTATCTATTTTTTCATCATATTAACTTTAAACCAGTCTCTCACAGGTTTTTTAATACTTCTTAACAAAATTATTGAAGATATGGAAATTATTTTTGCTAAAAAGTCAAAAATTTATTTCAACTAAACACAAGGATAACTCTATATTGAGTTGGGTTTTTGCTAAAGATCTAGTTTTTTTTATATTGGCATCCTTAAGTAAATATTATCTAATATATATACATGATGCCATCCAAAGTACTGGAAACATTTGCTAAAATGCTTACATAAAATATTTAGTCTTTATTTTAAGAATATATGTCTGATACAGGGCAAAGTCAGCACTGGAAGATTTCCTCATATTAAAATAAGAGTTTTTTTTTTATTATTCAAAGTAAGCTCAATAGAGATCCAGGGAATTTTTCCAAACACAGTAGAAGAAATACTTGATAAATTTTAAACTTTATTAATTGACAAAGACAATTTGGCAAAAGTTTATAATTAAATTTTTTGGCCAAAAAATAAATATAATTACTATTGTCAGTAACAGCAGCAGTATCATTAAAAATGAATATTTTACATATCTTTTCGGGACTCAATTATGTTTTATTCTTAGAAATACCTCCTTAGGCAAACTCTGATTGACAATGAGTTTGGCAAATCTCAGCTTTATTTTGATGACATCATCGAATGTAGCATTGGGAAGAGAGGTGCACAGTTGACTCTTGTGTGCCATTATAAATTGGCTCCAGCAAAACACTGCATAAATAGTAACTTTGCTGTAAATATTACTGGATAACATTATATTAGTATGGAATTCTTGTCATATTTCACATATGAGTTATTTGAACAGACTCTTAATGACCTTTCAATACAATGGAGAAAGACTTATGTTCTAAGAAGAAAAGAGATAATGTAACTGCCCAAGGGGTCTTCCTTGCCCTCTGCCTAGACAGAGCCGATTTATCAAGACAGGGGAATTGTAATAAAGAGTTTAATTCATACAGAGCCAGCTGTGCAGGAGACCAGAGCTTTATTATTACGTAAATCAGTCTCCCTGAAAACCTGGGGATCGAGGTTTTCAAGGATAATTTGGTGGCAGGGGTTGGACAGTGGGGAGTGCTGACTGGTGCGGTGAGAGATGAAATCATTGGGAGTCCCAGCTGTCCTCTTGCACTGAGTCAATTCCTGGGTGGGGGCCACAAGACCAAATAAGCCATCAAGTACAGTGTCTGTAAAATATCTCAAGCACTGATCTCAGGTTTTACAAAAGTAATGTTATCCCCAGAAGCAATTTGGGGAGGTTCAGCATCTTGTAGCCTCCAGATGCATGACTCCTAAATCATAATCTCTAATCTTGTAGCTAATTTGTTAGTCCCACAAAGGCAATCTAGCCTCCAGGCAGGAAGGGAGTTTGTTTTGGGATGAGGCTGTGATCATCTTTGTTCCAAAGTTAAACTATAAACTAAGTTCCTCCAAAAAATAGTTCTGCCTAAACCCAGGTATAAATTAGGAGAGCGTAGAGGTTAGAAGCAAGATGGAATCAGGTAGATCTCTTTCATTGTCATAGTTTTCTCAGTTATAATTTTTGCAAAGGTGGTTTCAATAAGATCTTCCACACTGTATCTCCTGAGTTGAGAGGCTTTAAATATAAAGGTGAAAGTAAAGGTTCTTTATTTTTACTCCAAATATAATTTCTTCTGTTTTGTGTAAGCTACAATAAGAACTCTGAATATCTATCATTCTGATGTTCTTTTAAAAGGCAGTGGGGGTGAATGGAAATGTAAAAGAACCTGTAAGCTTCAAGACAAAATAAGAAACAAATGGCCTGTATTTAATTCATAAATAAGATGTAACCTCCAACATATCTTCAACAAGCAGGATTCTCCCAGAAAGCAAAAGTCTCTCATACAAAATCTTTTCTTGTTGCACATATGGAAGATTTTGCAGTTACAGTTACTTTGTATTCTATTCCACAGAACGCTATCAGTTTTTGGTTAGATATATTTAGAACAATAGTTATTAAGCTGTGATTTTTGGCTCCAAATTTCACTGTAACCCTCTCAGCTGGTCCAATAAAAAACTTTTTCTTAATAATGCTAAGAAAGTATTTGCCTTTCTCACTGTGTATGCATTTGAATTCATGATACAAAAGCAGTGATATGTAAAATCATTGATGTGTTATCAGGAATTGAGGCAGTGATACCAAATAATTTTTCCCGCCACACATGTGAAAAAAAATACCTGTTTCACCTAAGAATGTCTTCGAAAATTATTAATTTTATTAAATCTTTTAATTTGAAAACATGTCTTTTTATATTCTATATGATGAAAATGAGAAATATATATAAAGTGCATTTCTGCTGCCCATCCAAGTATGAAGATTGTATCAAGAAAAATAATTGTGCAGTTGTTTGACTCGTGAGCTGATGTAGCTATCTGTTGATACTAAACACCATTTCCACTTGAAAGAATGACCGTCAAAGTATTGTTATTCAGAATTTAGTGTTACGAAGTTAAGGAACAGAACTGTTTACTTAAAGGAAAACAACTAACAGTGTGTGTTGCAAATAATGAAATTTTAATTTCAAGAGAAACAGAATTTTGCAAAACTTTTATCCACCATTATGAGCTTGACAGTTTCTCAATACAAGAAAATGTTTCTGATGAGCTCAATGGTGATATTAACATGTGATTATTAACATTTAGCCTAGTTAAGGGTATCAACTTTTGTGAAATCTACACAACCCAGTAAACTGATAATTTTTCAAATGATCAGTGACCTTACCAAAAATTCACTTTATATCTAAGATATATCAGTGAAATTAAACAGATTATGAGAAGTTCATTGATACAATTTTCATTCCAAATTGCAACTAATCTTTAAGAAACTACTGTTTGTAAAGCTGGGTGTAACATCAAATTGGACTAACTGCACCAATCATAAGGCTATTAAAATACTCCTCCCTTTTTCAATTACATGTCTATGTGAGTCCAGATTTTCTTCACATATTAAACCAAAACAAAATATCACAACATATTGAGTGTAGAATCAGTTGTGAGTTCACATATATATTAAGAGAATGAGAGATTATATACACTGGGCACAAAGAAAGTATAAGACCAGTAAATTTTTTATTGATTTAAGATTTTTTTTTGCCATCAGGTAGACTATATGAAGAATTATAAACCATATATCTTCCTCTAGAGCTATTGTTTTAAGTATGTTTTTGCATTCATCTTAAGACTTCAGTTTTCTCTTCATGTGTAATGGAATATGTTGAAGGCTCATAATGTGCTAATAGTCAGTGTAATGATTTGTAAACTATATTCTACAACTCATTGGAAAATATAATAAATAGAGTAATAAAATATTTGGGGCACATTGTCCAATATATTGCATGTGTTTGTCGGTTTTTGCTGATTATAAATCTGTACAGTACTTTAGCGTCTTTTACAAGACTACTTATCAGGACTGAAGCAATAGCTTTGATTAAATTGATGAATCTCCAGAACAATACTTAAAATACATGAGGGTTAGATATTTTGATAACTCAGGTTGCTTGAGATAAAAAAACAGCTTTTGCATGGAACTTAACTAGAATTTACTGGTAATATTAACATCGTTTATTGTGGAAATTTACTAGGTCAGCCTTCTTACTCAAAGTCATGTTAATGAACAGTGAAATTTAATCCAACAAATATTAATTATGTATGTCACAATTAGTGGACTATAGGCTGTGAATTACTGTGAAGTCAACATTTTAAAAAAAACAGTATCCATAATGCAAATGTAAAGGCAAATCTGGGTATACTTTTTTTCACTATTAAGTTTGGGGCACAAATAACCTGGAAACATTTCAAATTAATGATTTTATTTCTTTACAGACTTAACCTAAGAATCTGTGGGAAAGCATCAGTGCCACTAGTAGGCTGCAATTTGTTTACTTTTTATGATTCATTTGTCCCTGTTTATGAAAATATATTATTAAAATGGAAAATAAAACTGAATGCAATTGTGAAAATAAAAAACACTTTGAATTTATCTGTCCCTTATATTCTGTCAAAAATTTCCTTGCATAATATAATTTTTACTTCTTCCAAAAAAAGTCAGAGGGTACAATAACAGTTGTATAAGTGAATTTATACAAAATATTTTTCATTAAAAAAATAGTAAAGTTTAAGTTCAATAACTATTATGTCAATACCTGCTTAAGTTAACAATATGCTAAACCACAGTTTTTCTATGAGAAAACTGACTTAAAATTAATTTTAAACAGACATTTTATGTCTGTATTTTATGCAGACATACAATAAATATTTATCATCGACTCTTATGGGCTAAACACTATTAGATGTAAGAAGGAGCAGAGAGATGAATAAGAAATTACTTTCCACACAGAGTTAAATATCCAATAAACATGGTCTGTAATTTTTTCCAGTAGATTAACATTATCTTGGATTGATGCAATTGTTCCAAAAGTGAGTTCTTCAAACATACTTAAAAACATCAGTACTTTTATTTATAGGTTTTTAGCAAAGCATTTGCTTCTGAATAATGAAAGAAAAATTCTAGCAGTGGATATTTTTAGGTCAATAACTATGCAGCTTTTAATCTACTTTCAGCATTTCTAAAATAACAGAAGCTATTCCTAGAAAATCCATTATATTTTTCTGTTCACTGAATTTGTTGAATAATGATAAAGGACTAAATTCACTTCAGTTTTAACTCCCCCTCTCTTTCTTTTGGCCAGAGACAAGAAATCAGAAATAAATATTGAAGTACCTAAAATAATTCTCTTCTGTTTCAGTATTCACAACTTCTTTTTTTAATCTTTACTTTTACTTTATTTTATTTTAGAGACAGGATCTTGCTTTGTTCCCCAGGCTGGAATACAGTGGCATGATCATAGCTCACTGCAGCCTCATACTCCTGGGCTCAAGGGGTCCTCCCACCTCAGCCTCCCCATTATCTGGAATTACAATGTGTGCCACTGCATCTGGCTAATTTTTTAAATATTTTTTTTGTCGTTGAGACAGGGTCTTGCTATGTTGCCAGTCTGGTTTTGAACTCCTGACCTCAAGTGACCCTCTGGCTTTCACCCCACAAAGTGCTAGGATTACAGGTATGAGCCATCATGCCTGGTCCACCACAATTCTTTTAAATTTACCCTTTTACTCAATCTTCCTTTGTAAAAAAAAACTATTATCTTATTTACCTTGGGTTCTGTAGTTATTAGGTAAATTAAAAATTACTAATTGTAGACTAAGACAAAACAAAGCAAAATAAAAGTCCATGAATCTTTACAACAATTTGAAATAATTGAAGGACTACACACTATTTAGAGAAACAAATTGCTAGCATAAATATCTTGAGGAAATTTAGACCTAGTCTTCCTATATTTATTTTCTGTTTTAAAAAATATCATTCAAATTTCATCCACATAGGGGTGATAAGACATATTTCACAGATCCATACTCATTCATTCATTAATTATTAAACATCTACAATGTGGTTGAGTATAAATTATTAAAAATGAAACATTAATATGAATCAGATGTATTAGTTGCTTGCAGCCTCATAACAAAAAGTAGACATGCATTTATTCAGATGTATTGCAAGCATAAATAATGACAAGATCAGGGATATAAGAGATGAAATTCCAGATCTTAAGAAGTTTATTAGCTAGAGTGGTGAGAGAGATTTAAATATGTACAATTTTAATACTGTGTGATAAAGTATTGCAAATAGAACAGTGCCTAATTTTCATAAAGTTTTTAGGTTTTTAGGAGAGCTTCCATAATGTCAGAAATGTTTTTTTTTAAATATAAGAAGCAAATTAGCTGTACATTCAAAAAAGTACAATGAATGAAAGAAAGGATTAAGTTCTGGCTGGGCACGGTGGCTCACGCCCGTAATCTCAACACTTTGGGAGCCCGAAGCGAGTGGATCGCTTTAAGTCTGGAGTTCAAGACCAGCCTGACCAACATGACGAAACCCTGTCTCTACTAAAAAACACAAGAAGTAGCAGAGCACGTGGCGCATGCCTGTAGTCCCAGCAATTCAGGAGGCTGAGGTACAAGAATCGCTTGAACCCCGGACGTGGAGTTTGCAGTGAGCCGAGATCGCGTCACTGCACTCTAGCCTGCGCAACAGAGCAAAACTTCCTCTCAAAACAAAACAAAACAAGACAAAGAAAGGATTGTCGTTTTAAAACGATGGAGAAAATACTCAGTTTCTGAATGAGTGACACTAGAGAAGTCAGACTGCATGGGTGTGAATCTGTATTACATCACCTACTATTCTGTGTGACCTTGAGAAATTAGCCCCGTTCTGGACAGAGTAGGGAAAACAATAGTACTGATATCAAAGACTTATTTTAGAGATTAAATGCGGAGGTAGAGATAAAGTGCTTAAAACTATGCCCAGCACTCAGCAACTACTCAATGCATACAGTATGGCAAGAGGAAAAAAGGAATGACTCTAAAGCGGTGAAACCTGACAAGCACTACCTCAGGTCAACATCAACAGTAATGTCATGTTGAAAATATGTACTTTTTATATAATTTGATGAGAATGGCACTTTAGCTCTGTGGCCTTCTTCAAAAGATCACATAACCCCAGTCTGATCAAGAGAAAAACATTAGATAAACCTCAATAGAGAAACTTAATAAACGTCAAACAAGTCAACTAAGATAAAATGTGACACTTCCACCAAACGTCTTTCCAAAAAAATACCTGTTAGCTGACTCCAATCACATCTCCATTACTCTTCTTGTAAAATGTGAATCAAGCCCAAACATGTAGCATTTATTGACCAACATAAAAAAAATCTCTGAACTTTGGAAATGGTCTTTTAAAGATATTTCTATGCCTTGGAGCCATTTGTGACTCAGTAAGAATGAGTTATGTTTATGGGTAAAAGAATGAGTGAGAATAGTAGCACATATAAAAAACAAAAGAAATGGTGGATGAAGAAAATTGAAAATGGGAACCCAGCAAAAAAAATAAATACTAAATCAGGGCAAGTAGATAAAAAATGTGCACAAGTACAAAAAGGGATAACCTGTTATGATATTGTATTTTTTAGCTCCAATTGTCTTAATTTTGTGTGTGTGTGTGTGTGTGTGTGTGTGTGTGTGTGTGCGTGTGTGGAAGGTGTAGGTTGCTGTTGCGGTTTCACATATAACAATGACAAAAGACGTGCCTCTAATGTTTTCAATCACTTGAGGACTAATTTTAAAGACTGCAGCAGGATGCTATCGTAAGTGATCTGTGTTACATATTTCTTTAGTGCCCGTTATAAACCAAATGCCATTTGAATACTTAAAGGTGAAAGTTCCTGAATTCATGTATTTTCTTGGTCTTCTGAAGCACCAGAATTTTATAAGAACAGAAAAGTAAACATTGGTTTGCACCTCTTGAACCCTACACTTGAATACAGGAAAGTTCAGTTAATGGTATCTCAGTATGCTGCATGTCATGTGCAAGTCATATGGCATAACTTAAGGTGTGTGTGAGTTTGAAATATACTGATACAAGAAAGCTTTTGAAAGTTTGTTGACGGTCTGCTTAAAATCATTTCCAAGAGAGAAATGTTTCTCAAAAAATATTCTCAGTAAGCAGAAATAAAGGGACGCTCATTCAAAGACAGGAAGCTGTGTAAAATGCTCTGTCCTCTATCCCTCTCTTGTAACTCACAAAGCACCTTAGTTTAGAAAAGGCTGCAATAAAGACACTAGTTTTCCTTTTTAATTTTTACTGTAGTCTTTTCATGAACTTATTTGGCATGTTTTACAATTTATTTTTTAAATAATAATATCCAGAGGAATTATGTTCCACCATTTACACGATGGAAAACATTGCTTTTATTATGCAATAGAAAAAAAAAAGAAATAAGCTGAAGCCAGTGTTCTGGAGCCAGCAATGCCTTTGCCAAATCGTGCAAACTTGGGCAAATCCTTTAAGGCTTCCGTGTTGTTTCTTCATCATACATTACCTTAGATATAGGATTTTATTTCGGAATACCTTTTGTTCAGAGTTGCATTGTGCAATGTAACCTCATAATGGAGAAAACTCGCATTTATTCTTCACATTATCGGCCACAATGTTTTGGATCTTATGCACCAGTACTATTTATTAATTAATTAATTTATTTTAATAGGTGGACCACAATGGACGGCCAACTTATATTTTAGGAATATGGAATTCACAACAATATCCAAAACCTATTATATCATTGTCAGTTTATTAATGAAAATGTACCAACATCAAATTTTTAGAAAAGAGAAAACTTAAGAATAAGGAACATAAATTATATTAAATAAATATATTCACTGTAATTATATTCTTATGTTGCAAACAACCCAACTTCAAAAAGATCAATGCAAGGCCAAGGGATGGAACTTTGAGAAGTATTGCTTCTCCAAATATAGGTATCTAAATTCTCATAAAATTCCTGATTATAATATTCCATATTTGAAATGTTTCTAGTATTTATTAATAGTACTTTATGTTGCTATTTACAAGTGAAATAAGGAATATAGTAATTCCAACCTTTTAATTTAACTTAGTTCCGTTTAGCCAAGGATTAAGAGGCTGTACACACTAAATCCTTCATATCTTTTGGACCTTATTAGAATTATGTGTCAGTTACAACAGCTTAAACACTTGAGATATTATAGCATTAATTGTAACCACAGTATGGTTTTTCTTCCTTCTCTCTCTCCCTCTCGCTCTTGGTTGCTGACTTTTAGTTAGGTGCATGGATCATGGCTGCCAACTTTACTCACAGCCTTGGCCTCATGACTAAGTTTGGAAAAATGATATTTGAGTAAAAGTCAGGCATGTGATTTGTAGGTCACCTGTTTAAAAATGAAACCTCTTAGCCAGGCATAGAGGTGTGCACTTGTAGTCCCAGCTACTCAGGGGGCTGACAGAAAAATTGCTTGCACCCAGGACTTTGGAGATGCAGTTAACTATGATTATGCCACTGCATTCCAGCCTGAGTGACAGAGCAAGACCCTGTCTCAATAAATAAATAAATAAGTAAATAAATAAATAAATAAATAAATAAAATGAAGCCTTTTGCCTTAAGCTTCCTCTTTTCTTCTTCCCACTAGCAGACTGGATATAGCGGTGGCTAGCTTCAACCGTTGAGACAAGGACAACTCTATGAAACGGCATAGTAAGAAAATAAAAGAAACACAGGTCTTCGAATGGTGTTATAGAGCAGAGCTGTTCTGTTTTGCACCACTCAGCTCTGTCTCATGAGAGAGAACTGTATTAATGTTTTATTTAAGCCACTATATTTTGGAGTATCCTTACTACAACATCTTAACTTTAACTAATGCAGGTATTTAAATAGCAAATAATTTCAGTCATTGTAAACAAAATGAAACAAAAATGGAAGATAGAAAAAAATCACTACTATTTAAAAGTTCAATTTATTAGGTTTATACTTTTTTCTGCTTAATTTGTGAATTTACTGAAAATAAATGCATTTTGTGATTAGCAACTTGATTAGGAATTTAAAAATTTATGAATTAGTTAATCCAAAATAGTATTTAAGGCCAGAATAAGCAGATACGGCAGTTAAAATATCCATTTCAGGTAGCTGTTTTATTAACAAAGGTGCATGTTAAAATTATAATTACAGAATAATATTAGTTATTCTTAATAGCAGCCAAATAATATATTTTTTTACAAACTGCCTCCTACATGAAAATAGAATTTTAGATCGTGTCTTTTGTGAAACTAATTTATTTAATGTAAATAAATTGATGTATTTAGTAACTATTATGTGCCACCAATATTCTCAGTCCAAATATTGTTACACTTGGATTTGTGATCAAATCATTATTCACACATAAATTGGGGTTTTACTTCTAAAGATGTGTTGTGGTTGTGCAAGTCTATGAGAAGTTATTCATGGACAGACATTTAATAATCTGCTTAAGCAAAGTACTAAATGTGAGATTTCTGGGTGTAACCCATCCTGTGTGGGGAAAACATAAATGATAATTTGACCAACTTTAAATGAAGATTCTTTGTGGGCAATATTACACCAATTTTTTTTCCCAACTGAGAAATGCAGCAATTAAGAAGTATACATGGGAAAACATAAACATCAAAATATGACATTATTTCTGGTTGAACTTAACAAGAGAATGTGACTCTAATACCCTACCCAGGATAGCTACCTAATTTATTGGGCCTATTTTGAGACAGGGATAGCAGAATATTAAACCAAACATTGTACTCTTCTAAGCATGGGACTCTGTACAAGTGCACAGGTCATGTATCCATGAAGCTAGCCCTGAATTTCTCTATATTCACATATAAATAGTGGAATTCATTTTTCAGAAGAATATCTTTCTATTGCAGCCACAAAAGGAATTCTGACTTTCTTCCCACTTGTCAATCACAGTGTGCCCTCAAGGCCAAGAGGGTCTGAAGGGACCAAGCTTTGGGCTAGATGTGAAGAGAAGGGAGATGTTCTCTCTATGCTTCCACAAAGAAAATGATTCTACTTTATGGGCTAAACAGTGTGTGCTAAAGCGAGAGAAGTACTTCTCCTCTCAATTTACAAATTTTTGTCCACTTGACGTATTGGATTTGGTGGTAAATGTGTTTCTTTCCTGGCCAGGGGAAATTCCTGGTCAGCCCCAGGAGTGCTAAAGTTAGAGGGTTGGGGCTGGAGTTAGGGCATAATATTAATTCTGTTCCCCTATCTCCAAATTCTCAGTCAATTGGGTGATTTAGAAAAAAAAAAATAGGAATCCAAATACCAGTTTCTGTGTATATTACTAGAAGAAGTCTATTGAAGAACTTGGTTTGAACTGAAGGTCAAAGTTAGGTTTGATACTATCCACCCCCGACTCCACCCCTGCCCCACCAAATTCACCTCTGTACTTAAATGTGGGAAAATTTGGGTCTCCATAGCAGACACTTTCCAAACCAGCCATATAAAAGATCTTGTCTTGTCTCATCCTATGTTCTAAAACAAGAGATTTGTGATATTAACAAAGAAAACTGTGGACACAGTTATAGCTGACTTAAATCATATTCCTGTTATTGGGACAAACCTATCAAAATGAATGGAAGAATGAAATCATCTTTCCATTAAAAAGACTAAAGTTCCAATTTTATAGGATAGTAGGAATCTGAGGAGAAAAAAAAAAAACAACTACTAAATTCTTTCTATGTCACATAGCTCCAGCACCTTGGCAGGCATCTGAGTACTATGGAGAAGGAAGCATTTGCTTTCCTTTCTTTTCCTTTCCTTCAACTCTGCCATGGTAGCACAAAAATAGCAGCTATAGTAATATGTAAACAAACGTTATTTTAAAAAATTGGTTGCAGGCCAAAATTTGCTGATCCCTGTTCCAGAACTATTAAATGACTCAATTTAGGGAATGTTTCCCTAGGATTTAGAATACATTCAGTTGTGAATTTTCTTCATATTTAGTGAGCTTAATTTTGTAAATCATGAAATTAAAATTATCAAATAAGAAAATTGTCATACATTTTGAAGAGTTGTATTTGATACAAAGTATTTAATAAATGGTGTTGGGAAAACTGGCTAGCCATATGTAGAAAGCTGTAACTGGATCCCTTCCTTACACCTTATACAAAAATTAATCCAAGATGGATTAAAGACTTAAACGTTAGACCTAAAACCATAAAAACCCTAGAAGAAAACCTAGGCATTACCATTCAGGACATAGGCATGGGCAAGGACTTCATGTCTAAAACACCAAAAGCAATGGCAACAAAAGCCAAAATTGACAAATGGGATCTAATTAAACTAAAGAGCTTCTGCACAGCAAAAAAAACTACCATCAGAGTGAACAGGCAACCTACAAAATGGGAGAAAATTTTCGCAACCTACTCATCTGACAAAGGGCTAATATTCAGAATCTACAACGAACTCAAACAAATTTACAAGAAAAAAACAAACCACCCCATCAAAAAGTGGGCGAAGGACATGAACAGACACTTCTCAAAAGAAGGCATTTATGCAGCCAAAATACACATGAAAAAATGCTCATCATCACTGGCCATCAGAGAAATGCAAATCAAAACCACAATGAGATACCATCTCACACCAGTTAGAATGGCGATCATTAAAAAGTCAGGAAACAACAGGTGCTGGAGAGGATGTGGAGAAATAGGAACACTTTTACACTGTTGGTGGGACTGTAAACTAGTTCCAACCATTGTGGAAGTCAGTGTGGTGATTCCTCAGGGATCTAGAACTAGAAATACCATTTGACCCAGCCATCCCATTACTGGGTATATACCCAAAGGACTATAAATCATGCTGCTATAAAGACACATGCACATGTATGTTTATTGCGGCACTATTCACAATAGCAAAGACTTGGGACCAACCCAAATGTCCAACAATGATAGACTAGACTAAGAAAATGTGGCACATATACACCATGGAATACTATGCAGCCATAAAAAATGATGAGTTCATGTCCTTTGTAGGGACATGGATGAAATTGAAAATCATCATTCTCAGTAAACTATCGCAAGAACAAAAAACCAAACACCGCATATTCTCACTCATAGGTGGGAATTGAACAATGAGATCACATGGACACTGGGGGGAAACATCACACTCTGGGGACTGTTGTGGGGTTGGGGGAGTGGGGAGGGATAGCATTAGGAGATATACCCAATGCTAAATGATGAGTTAATGGGTGCAGGACACCAGCATGGCACATGTATACATATGTAACTAACCTGCACATTGTGCATATGTACCCTAAAACGTAAAGTATAATAATAATAAAAAATAAATAAATAAATAAAAGAATTTAAAAAATGGGGGAGAGTGAAGAAAATAACCAAAATTTAAATTTTAATTATGCCAGGCATTTTGGCTTAGAAACCATTTAGAAAATGACTTCCATCAGGAAAACAGTTGGTTTAATGAATTAGAGCATTAACACTAAGAGCCTTAGGTTCATGACTCAACTGTTATTACTCTTGCCATTTGCAAAGCTTGCTTAGGGCTTCGTTTTTGAGACAAATGAAAAAAGGATTTAACTCCGTTGGTTCCACAGACATTAATGGAATCCATTCATCTACCTTGCCATGCTCTGCCTAGAAATTTACTCTTTAAGGCTTATATTTACAACTTTAAGTATGGCCTGTGAGCTTGCCTTAGGGTTAAAAAAAAAAAAAAAAAACAGACAAAAACTGAATTTACTAACTCTGATTATTTAAAAATAATTTCCATGAAAATGTGATGTATTAGTTGCTTATTCATAAGATACACTTCCTGGACATAGTTTCTCTTATTCAGACTCTAACCTTCAAGACCAAATGAGACAAAGAATGAGTCAAATTTTCCTTTGGTGCTAATCTCCATTCCTCCCTTCTACAAGAAACACTATTTCTTTCATTTTAAAAAAGTTGAACTGTACAAAATTCAATGTGCTCCTCAGATGTTAGCTAAATAATTGTTTAATGTTTCAATGAAAACAAATGTGTGTCAGAAACATCTTGAAGAATCCATATTCTAAATATAGAACTGCATTTTCTCATTAAATTTCTGTATCTATATCAAACTGGCAATGTTAGATAAATTCCAAATTAAGTAGATGGTATAAGTAGACTTTTTAAAGGGGTAAAAACAATGTTTACTTCTGAAAGGATACATGGAATAGTCAAAAGGAAAGAAAATAGTTTTAAAGAAATAGCCTTCAGTGCAATCAAGGTAAATTTACCATTTACTACTGAAACTGTGCCTCTTTCAGGATATCAAGCTGGGAAAAGTTAGCCAGTGATATTTGTAAATATCACTGTAAAATATCCAGTAAATATTTGTATTATTAGTCAAATATTCACAGTCCCTTCATTTGAGAGGATCTTACCTGCCCAGTGGCATGTCACTTGTAGTGCCTCTTGAGAAAGGAACATATAGCTCTTCACCCAGTTGATGTTAGGCTTGGTCACATGTCTTGCTTCGGACAATAATCCATGAGCACATGTGTCACACACTGTAGAAAGTAAAAAAGTTCCCTTCAAAGCTCGTCTTGGTTTAAAAATAAAATAATAGACACTAGAAATAATAGCTTCTTACTCTAAAGCCTCCTATCAACTATTAGTTCTTACACTTTAGCCCAGTTAGTTGCTTTGTCTTACCCAGGCATGTCTGGACAGGCCCAGGCAAGTCTTAGCTCATAGCTTATGCCTCTTCCTTACTTGGAAATGTTATTGCTTCCTTAAACCTTTCATAAGCAATTTTCTCTCCTTCTTGGTTCTCCCTTGCACTTACCTATTTAGAAAACTTTTAGGTTATTAGCAAATCAGGTATCAGTTTAAGACTGTGAGGTCCAGCTCCAGCCAATGGAGGCAGGACACAGCAGTAAAGACAAACCAAATGCGTAAGGGATAAATATGTCTGCTTTCCCTTTGTTCAAGTGTGCTCTCGCCATTGTTGCATCTGTGAGCAGCACCCTTTCTGCAGAAAGTAAAGGTTGCCTTGCTGAGAGATTCTTTGTCTCTGTGCTGACTTTTCTTCACAGTACTGATTATCTATTTTTAACACACACAATATCCAAGTGGCAGTAATAAGACCCATGATGTTTCTATAATTTGCCTTTCACTTTACTTATGCTATATGATCAGCATGTATCATATCTAGGCTGCTTGATTTGAGCAAATCTGACCTGTAATCAATCTACAGAATCTGACCTGCCATATAGGTAAGAAATAAACTTTGCTATTTTATAAGCCAATGAAAATATGAGGCTAATTATTATTGTAGCATAACAAACACACACACACAAAGACTCACTGATTAATCACTCATTATATAGGTAAGATGTTGCAATTGTATGGTCACTGAAATTACAAAAGCTAAAGAAGTCAGGTTACTAACAGTATTGATAATAATTGTCACTTTTACTTATAGTAAAATAGATTCTTTTCCTCATATTTGTATATTCTGGAGTTTTCCTGAGATTACATAGAGGACCACTGTATTACAAAGACTCAATATTGTTGACTGAGAAATCCCTTTGCTCTATCCTGCCAGTATTTAAAGGGTCTCTATCTTCCATAGAGAAATTATTTCTATAGGTTTCCCTTTCAGAGTAATTCCCTGAATTATGTCACATCACTTCTAGGCTCAAAACCCTTCAGTGCATTTCCATCTTATTAAGGCTAAAATACAAAGTTGTTACCATGGCCTTCAAGGCACTACATGAGCTAGATCCTCTCTTATCTCTCTAAACTCATGTCCTTTTACTCTGACTACAAAATACTTTTTATTACCTATATCAACCTCCTTGTTTTGTTTTTTAAATACACAGAACATGCTCCAACTTTAGGACTTCTTACTTGTTTGTTCTGTGTGGAATACGAAATACTACTCACTCAGACTGGACCATCACTCTCCATCTCCTGATTTTGCATTCTTCTTCATCTCACTTATCACCACTTTTCATATTACATACTAAAGTGTTTTCTCTCTCATTCTCTAGAATATAAGTTCCATAAAGGCAGTGACTTTTTCTGTATTTTGTTATGGCTACATCCCAAGTGCCAGGAATAGTGCTTGGAACATAACAGATAATCAATAACTTTTTAAATATATGTGTATTTGAGAGTAATAGATTCCATATGGTACAATATTAGAAATAATGCTAGCTATAACTGAATTTACCTTTATTGCATTGAAGGCTATTCCTTTAAAATGATTTTCTTTCCTTTCAACTGTATCTTTTAAATGTATTTATCTGGGTATCACTTCATTTCCCCAAAAAAAGTAAACTGTTAGCAGCAATTTAACTGAGATTTTTACACTATTAAGAAAATATTAAACAGAAGTATTACTAAAGAAGAAATAGTACTGAGAATCATAAGAATAATAATAGATATCTTAGATCATGAAATTGTTTGATTTCAATATAATAGCTAACCTAACCATTACATAATAACAATTTTTATTTAGTACACCCACATTACTTAATTTAAATGAGAAGTATGTCAGTATGAGTCAGTTGACTTGTGGTTAAGTCTCTTTTTTCACATATGAATTATATGGTTATCCCTAGCTATAAGTAATGTATGAAAGGAAAACAATGAAGTCAAAGAAATTTGAAGTGGATTAAATCAGTTATCATAATTCAACATATTAAGTTAGAAAATCAGTAATGGATTGTCTAGGTACATTTATAAGAGTTAATGAAAAAGAGGGAAGCAGGGATTATGTCAAGATACTTCATTAGCAAGAATTTGGGTGAAAGTTATCATTTTAAAAATTCTAACTTTTTAAAATTTTAGTTTTAAGGTAATATTTTAAAAATGTTCTATAGGCAAAGATGTGACAACTGAACAAGGGGAAGTTTGCAGGAATAATTTTTTTTATTTTAGTTATATTAAATTTGCAATGGAAGGCTTGAGTTCAGGGTTATCTAGGATAGGCTAGAAATTTTGGTTTGGAAATAGAAGTTCCTAGAAGGGACTAAAGAAAGAGAATAGAGAAGGATCCAGCACCAGGACCTGAAGAAGTCCATCACTTAAACATTTACTCAAGTAGGGAGAACAAACTATGGGGACTAAAGAGGAGTGACCAGTGAAGATAAAAAAAAAATGGTGTGTAATAGGAAGAAATGGGTAGTCAACTGTGTTAAATCTCTGACAAGTATAATTACATGAAAGTTGTAAAAGTGAATGGAAGGATATGTCTTCTAATTCAAAAATCTTGAGTTGTTAAAATAATGTAAGAATGATGAGGCACCATCAGGCATTGTACTTTATGTAATATATATTTATAAGACATATTCAATATGAGAAAGCTTCTTAGGAAAGAATCTTACTGGATGAAAGGGGACTAACAATGAGATCTTGAAATGAGTGTGAAATCGTCAAGAGAAATTGATTGAGGGGTAGGGAAGAGAAGAGAGAAAACTGATAAGAGAAATGAAAGGACGCAAAGGCAAAACTCGTTTCTGAAAAAAATGCCTTTCTTAGGTGTGAATTTCATTAGTAATTAACATAAAACTGTTTAGACAGAGCTCACTGTGTTAGGCTTTGTGACAATGACTTTACATGTCTGTATTAAGCTATACAACTATGGTAATCAGGTAGGATATATTACAATGTTAATGATGGCAAAAATGAGAAGAAATTTAAATAAATCTAATAAATATTAAATTTTTATATGTCTAAGAAATGTTAGAAGTATCAAAATTTAATTTGTTTAAGATTCCAAGGGGTTCTACCCCTTAACAATGAGGTTACTTGGCTAAATTATTTTATTGTAAATGTCAGGGAGAAAAGTTATTCAAATAATACTCTCTGGAAGTACATCCTAGCCATAAAAATGCTAGACTGTTTTCTCTGCTGCATTGTTTGTCTCTCTTTTTTTTTTTTTTTGAGAGGGAGTCTTGCTCTATCTCCCAGGGTGGAGTGCAGTGGCCTGATCTTGGCTTATTGCAACCTCCACCTCCCGGGTTCAAGCTGTTTCTGTCTCTTATTTTCTGTTTTACTTCAGGTGAATTATCAACACATTTCCACTCAAATAAACATATTTTATATTTAAAAAAATTTTTCATAATTCAATTTCTCAATTCTATCAATAGGACAAGCAGCTTAATGAGTTAATTACAGATATGAGCTTACTTTCAACCTATGCCTGATTTAAAAGCATCTACATTTTCTTCTTACAAGCTTTAATTGAATAACTACATAAAAATTATTTTACATCAAGGATACTTCTGAGTGAGTTGGTGTATGAAAGCTCTATGCATAACACAAGTTCACAGAGATTAAGTCAGCCAGATTTTATATGGCAGGAAGCCATCGTAAATGCATGCAGGCGGTTTGACACACAGACCATAGGCATTGTGTAAAGAAAACTATGAATAACTATACTGTTCATAAACACTGTCTGAGACATACATCTCCATGACATTTTCTTGAGCAAAAAAAGTCCCTTAGAGACATGAGCTTTTATAAACCCATTAAAATGATATCTTGTAAGCTGTTGCTTCCATTTTCTAAATACTTGCTGAGTTTTTCTGGAGGCCTGTGGTATATTTTTATCTGGCACGTAGCTGACTTAAACATATTAATATTTTCAAATGCAAGGGCCAGCCTTCAATTATTATTTTATAATTTAGAAGTGAATTTTATGACTATTTTCTTCAAGCAACTTATTTCTTCATCCAAATGGTTCCTCAATAATTATGTATTATCTTACACACTATATGGATGGAGTATAACTAATATCTCTGCAGACTGGCATATGTTCACCACAGTCAACATTGTTGCCTTTGAAACAAATGGCTCTGATTATTATAGATAGATATGCTAATCACAGACTACATGGTAAAGGTGAAAAGAAGAGTATGTATTTTTTCAGAAGGCACTTACAACATATAACATTACCCCTTATTGTTCTACTCTCAAATTTTACAAACTTAACATTGACATTTTTAGCAGAGGAAATATAAATTGACAAATTTTAAGTCTGGTAATCCTGCTGAGCCACAATTCAACTCAGACTATTTTACAGTGTTGATACATTTTAATATGGATATGCTCCCTTAAAAATTCCACCTTCCACCATGATTTGAAGTTTGCAACAGGATTAAAATTGAGTGTTAATTTTCTACACTCATATAGACAGGAAATTACCTACAATGAAACCAAAGATACAAAATGAATGGCTAATCTATGTATTAGAGGCTAGCTGTGTATATTCAATGTTGAATGGGTTCTATTTCTTGAGAAAAATTACTAAAATCACCAAGCACAAAGGTGTAATCAACTGAAATATTCACCTAAATGGTAGCAAAGAATTGTTACACATCCATTGTATGCCACCATGACTTTTAAAACCTACATAAAGTTTACAATTTTTTACGTTTTTTTAATCACATGAATGCTTATAAATTATATATAATACACTGTTTTACAGTTTAGGCATGGTTATGATTCTATGCAATGGTACTGGTGCAAATTATGTTTAATAGCAACATCGCAATATGTGTGTTATGATATATTATTATTTTTTTCTTTTTGAGACAGAGGTCTAGCTCTGTCGCTAGGCTGGAGTGCAGTGGCACAATCTCAGCTCACTGCAACCTCTGCCTCCCGGGTTCAAACGATTCTCCTGCCCTTGCCTCCCAAGTAGCTGGGATTACAGGCACGCGCTGCCACACCCAGCTAATTTTTGTATTTTTAGTAGAGACAGGGTTTCACCATGTTGGCCAGGATGTTCTCTATCTCCTGACCTCATGATCGGCCCATCTCATCCTCCCAAAGTGCTGGGATTACAGGTGTGAGCCATTGCGCCCAGCCATGATATATTCTTAATAGCTTTATTGAGGTATAATTTATATCTCATAACATTTTCTCATTTAAAAAGTATAGTTCAAGGACTTTTAGTGTATTCACAGAGATTTATAACCATCACTACAATCTATTTTAGAACACGCCAGATAAAATCTCATACCCATTACCAGTTACTCCCTATGTCCCAACCCAGACACATACCCTCTCAAGCTTTTGAAAGCCACAAATCTGCTTTAGTTTCTATAATATTTGGGGCCTTTTGAAGAACATTTTCTTTTTAAAATTATATTTTCAATTGATAGATAAAATTGTATATATTCATCATGCAAACATGATGTCTTGAAGTACATACAGATTGTGGAATGGTTAAATCTGGCTAATTAATATATAAATTACCTAACATAGTCATCATTTTTATGGTAAGCAAATTTAATATCCACTCTCTTAGCATTTTTAGGAATACAATTTATCATTATTAATTCTAGTCACCATGCTATACAATGAATCTCTTGAATATATTCCTCCCATCTACCGACCAACCAACATCTTCCCAACCCCTTCACAACTTGCACAGCCCCCTGGTAACTACTATTATTCTCCTCTCTATTTTCTTCTCATTCTCCTGCTCTTTTCTTCTTCTTTTCTTGCTATATTGCCCAGGCAGTTCTTGAACTCCTGGGCTCAAGTGATCTTCCTGCTTCAGCTTCCCAAAGTGCTGGGATTACAGGCATGAGCCACTGTGCCTAGCCCTACTCTGTACTTCTGTGAGATCAACTTTTGAAGATTCCACGTAGAAGTGGGATTAGGCAATATTTGTCTTTCTGTACCTGGCTTATTTCACTTAAATAATGTCCTCCAGTTTTACCCATGTAGTGGCATTTTATGACTGAACAGTATTCAATTTTTTAGACAAGCCACATATTATTTATCCACTCATCTGCTGATGAACCCAGGTTAATTCCATATCGGTTATTTTCAACAGTGCTGCAATAAACAGAGAAATGCAGATATCTCTGTGATGTACTGATTTTATTTCCTTTGTATATATATTGAGTAGTGAGATTTCAGGATCAAATGGTTTTTTCACTTTTTAATTTTTCGAGGAAACTCCAAACTATTTTTCATAATAGTTTTACTAATTTGCATCCCCACCAATAGTGTACATGGGTTCCCTTTTCTCCACATCTTCATGAGCCATTGTCATCTTTTGTCTTTTTGATAATAGCCTTTTTAACAAATATGAGGTGCTACTGTGTTGTGGTTCCAATTTGAATTTTTAAGTGATTAGTAATATTGACTACTTTTTCATATACTCACTGTTCATTGTATATCTTCTTTTGAGAAATTTCTATTCAGGTCCTTTGCTTATTTTTTTAAATTCAACTTTTATTGGAGTCTAAAGCAAAGTTCTGTGTTCACTTCCTTCTCTTTCTTCCAAGTGGATCGTATTTCTTTTTGTGCTGTACAGCCTGGGTACAAGTGCAGGATTGTTACAAGAGTATATAGTGTGATGCTGAGGTTTGGGCTTCTGTTGAGCCTATCACCCAGATACTGAACCTCCCAATAGGAGGTTTTTCAGCCCTTTCCCCTTCCTCCTTTTGGAATCCCTAGTGTCTACTATTCCTGTTTTATGCCAACATGTACTCAAAATTTAACTCCCACTTATAAGTGAGAACATAAGATAATTGGTTTTCAGTTTCTGCATTAATTCACTTCAGATAATGTCCTCTAGCAGCATCTGCATTGCTGGAACTCCTACATATGTTATTTGCTTCTTTTATCTTGTTGCTTTCAGTATTCTCTCTTTGTTTTTTGTCAGTTTGACTCAGTTTAGTTTTATTTGGATTGAATCTGTTTTGGTAACTTTGACTTTCCTGTACCTAGATATTTACATCTTTCTCCAGGTTTAGGATGTTTTCCACATTTCTCATTCAGGTCACTTATTGTTTCCTTATTCTGTTAAATCGTTTCTCTGAATTTTATTGAAGTCCATTAACCCTTCTTAAAACGTTATAATGGATTGTCAAACAGTTCATATATCTTCATTTCTTTCATGCTGGTCACTGGCATGTTATTCTATCCCTTTGGTCATGGCATGTTTCCTTGATTGTTCTTGATCCTTGTAGCTGTACATTGATGTCTGTGCATTTGAAGAATTAGGTAGTTATAGGTAGTTATTCCAGTTCTGCTGACTGGTTTTTTTTGGAAAAGCCCTTCAAAAGTCTGTTCATCCAGGCAGAGTGAAAAAGGAAAGAAGAAAGAAAGAAAGAAGAAAGGAAAGAAAGAAAGAAAGAAGAAAGAAAGAAGAGAGGGAGGGAGGGAAGAAGGAAGGAAGGAAGGAAGGAAGGAAGGAAGGAAGGAAAGGAGAGAGGAAAGAAAGAAAAAAGAAAGAGAGAAAGAGAGAGAGGGAGGGGGAGAGAGATATAGAGAAAGAAGGAAGGAAGAAGGAAGGAAGGAAGGAAGGAAGAGAAAAAGAAAGAGAAAGAAAGAAGAAAGGAAGGAAGGAAGGAAAAGAAAAAGAAAAAAAGAAAGAAAGAAAGAAGAGAGAGAGGGAGGGAGGGAAGAAGGAAGGAAGGAAGGAAAGGAGAGAGGAAAGAAAGAAAAAAGAAAGAGAGAAAGAGAGAGAGGGAGGGGGAGAGAGACATAGAGAAGGAAGGAAGAGAAAAAAGAAAAAGAAAGGAAGGAAGGAAAAGAAAAAGAAAAGAAAGAAAGAAAGAAAGAAAGAAAGAAAGAAAGAAAGAAAGAAAGAAAGAAAGAGAAAGGAAGGAGGGAAGGAAAGGTAAACTCCACAATGACTATGAATCTTTGTAGGTGGGCAAATATAAAGGATACATTCCCTGAGTCAGTAAGAGTGTCCTATACCAAATACCATCTGGCAGCATGAGAAGCATCCCAGATAGACTGTTTTTCCTAATGTGGTTGTTGAGTTTCCTCTTTCTTGGCACTTTAGGGTCACCTTAGCTATGGCCAATATTCCAAGTCTACTTCAGCCTTCTTGCACTCCAATGTTTCTCATGTATACGTTAACTATCTAAATTTTTCAGTGTCCTATTCTGTTGATGGAACCAACAATGCTTTCTGATATGTGGGAACAAACTACGGGCTAGATGTTATGTTGTGGAGAGAAAAGAAGAAAAACACCTATTTTCAGGCAAATAGTTTTTCTCAGCAAAAATCTTTTCTGTCATATTGGTTAATAATTTACCCTGATTAACTTTAATCCAAACTCACTAAGCTCCAGATAAAGTGAAAAGTGGCTGATCCACTTGAAGAAAAAAAAATCCAGAAGAACATATGGTAACATTTTATTTATTATTATATTAATATATGGGTAGTGTAACCATATTATTTATTGTCCAAATTTTGAGAGAAAGAGGGATCATCTGACATAATATAAGGCATACAGTTATAAACCAGGATATATGACCAGTTTAGTTACAGGTAAGAAATTCCCTTTTCCTTCTCAGGTTGGTGCTAATGGATAAAATATACACTATGTCTTCTTGAATGTGCTTGTTCTAACTCCTAACCATCCTTAGTAACTTCACAAGGAAGGAAGAATGACTTCAATTAGTAAGATTTGGTAAACAAGTAACCATGCTATCTTCTGGTCTACTTTTCTAGATACTTTGCTGGGACACAGAAACATTCTTCTCTATTACAGTCATATAGATTTGGTCCAGTTTTTGTCTTTCAGGACCAGAAGAGAGAATAGGTCAGGTTAGGTCCTTCCATCCCCTATACAAACATTTAGGGGAACTTTAGCTTTGCAGAAGAACTTTAAAGAAGGTCCCAAGTTCTAGATATCTTCATAGACATATCCAAGCAGTGTTCTCCTACATAGATTTGCTACTATTGTTGGTATTTCAACTTTTTGAATCATGTGCCTATTTTTCAAGTGGGCCAGTATGTTAATTTAGAGCAATTTTCATAACTTCTTCAAGGAATTTTGTTGGTAAAACTACATTTTATCTACCTGCAGTGCAAAATTCAATGACATTTACATAGTGGAAATATTATAATGAAAAATTTAAAAGCGAAAATTACCTAATAGTGAAATGCTCTTCAATGGTATTGCCACAGTAAAACAAACAAATGAAAAAAACTTTCTTATTAGGATATAGATAAAAAGGTAAACAATCCTATTTTAACATGGGGCAAAGGATTTATATAGACATTCTCTGGAGAAGATATACAAATGTCCAATAAATATATGTAAAGATGCTCAATATTATTAGTCATTAGGAAATAGCAAATCTAGAACTTCTTGTTTTGAAATAATTTATATTTACTGAAAATTTTTGAAATAATACAGAATCCCCATATATTCTTCAGCCAGTTCATTACTTTTAAAACACTACATACCATGATATATACAATTATCAAAACTTGGAAATTAACATTGATAGAATACTATTAACTAACCTGTGGACGTTATGTGAATTTTGCCAGTTGTTCCACTACTGTTATACTGTTGGACTTAGATCCTATCCCGGCTCTTACAATGTACTGTATCATCATTACTTCTTAGTCTTTTTCAGTCCTTTATAGTTTCTCAGTCTTGTTTTATCTTTCATGGCCTTGATACTTTTAAAAATAACTGGCATATTATTTTGTAGAATGTCTTTCAATTTCAGTTTGATATTTTGATGTTTGATGGCTTAACCAATGTTATGCATTTTTAGAAAAACATAACCAAAGAAGCTACGTGGTGTCTTTTGAAGTATATTGTATCAGGAGTTATGTGATTCTTCATTATAATGCTACTATTTTTTTCTTTGTATTTAATAAATATTTTATGTGGAGATATTTTAAGGTGATGCAAATATCCTGGTTTTCAATATTTCTGTACTCATTAATGTTAGATTCCATTCATTATTTCTGCCTGGAATATTATTACTGTGGTATTTGGCTGATGGTGATTTTCTCATTCCATCAATTCTTCTACACTTCTGAATTGGAAGTCTACTTTGAGGAATAACTATTTCTTGCTATGATTATTTATTCTTGTATCTATTCATTTATATATTCATTCAATTATTTATGTAAGTATGGACTAATTGACACTTATTTTATGAGTTATAATTCCTTATTGTCATTATTTTGTTGTTATAATTATGTAAGATTGGTCAGAACAAATAAATTCCATCCTTGTCCCAATTTTGATTAGTCATATATACACACTTACCACCATCCTATTGCTGGATTTTTCTCAGTCATCTTATAGGTGATGAAACTAATTATTTAGTAGATACCTTAAGATGGGTACATGGATGAAATGGAATTCTCTAAGTATTCTGAAAACTGCTTTTTTTCCTCACAATAACCTTGATATTTGATGGAAAGTATAATTGCATATAAATTACTTTATTCAGATCTACTTTTATTAAGTTAAAAAATACTTTCCACTTCTGTCTTATTGTGCATATTGTTTTTCATTAATCCTTTGCCATTATAAGTTTTTTCTGTTGTTTTTGAAGTTATTTGACTTTTTTTTTTGGCCTGGAAATAATGTCGAATATTTTATTAAACTAATATTTTTACTATATTTCTTTGTTCATTTTGGTTTTATTTTTCCAAGTACTTGATGAACCTTTCAAATATGTAGAGTAAAATATTTTAACTCTGACAGTTTATTATATTAAAGTTTTAAGTATTTTTTCTATTGCTTTTCTTTTTCAATAAAACTGTGATTCTTTATTGTCTTCCATTTTTATTACCTTATTTTTGAAACTTTTTATGTCTGTATCTTATTTTTTTTAGCTTGATTGATTCCTGCCTTACTTCAGTGTTGCTTAATAAATTTTTATTTTAGTCTAGTCTCTTTTGGAAAGTCATTACTCTGTAAACACAGCAAAATCAAGACATATACTAAATTTTTTGTTTGTTAGTTTTTATGGTGGATAGAGAAGTCATGTCTCTTGAATTTTTAGTTATTTTTTGTCTTTAGCACCATAAATTTTTCCCTTAACCACCTAATTGCCAAAAGTTGCTTCTAATTCTCCTTTTTCATTTTTTTCCTCCTCCAGAAGCTACAAAGTTTTATTCAAATTAAATATACTAGTAAGTCCTTTCCCTTTATCTATTTCCTGGTCTTCCCTGAAACTTCTATAGTATTTTTAGACTTAGGATCAATTATTCTTTCTGACTGTGGTTTTACATTAAAATTAGGCCCTGTTGTTTCCTGCATATTTCTCCATTCCATGCAGTTTTCTTACCTGCCTTTGCTTCATAGAGTAGGAGCACTAGAGTTCATGTGCCATAACTTGGCATTTTTTTCTCCTTTTATACTTTTAGATAATTTGACATTTGGGCATTTCTTGTCTTGAAATTATGCTGAGGTTTTCCTGTAGTTTTACTTTTTTCTCCTCATTGTTCTATATTTGTGGGGAAAATAATTGAAGATAGAGACCTAGATAGTCATTGTTTTTGGCTAGCTGGAAGTCTTAATATGATAATAATTCATATATGATTGCTTTAAAAATCAAAATTTATTAAGGAAAAGGGCTTAACACATTTAAGATTAGTTGAAAGGAGGATAAAAATAGTACACGTGGAACAAGACAAACTGTAATATTCCTGGAATTACTGCATAACTTCAATTTTTTGTTAGTGTTAGAATGTTTCAGACACTTTCCAAACACACAAAGAAAACTATAAAAGCTTTAAAATACTAATGAATGGTTTTCCTGTTAAAAGGAACTTAACAGATGTAGCTGAAGGAAACTTTATTAAGTCTAATATCTTCATCAAAAAGCACCATAATAGACCAGCTCTATTAGAATGTCCCCAAACCAAACACTCAATATTTAGTTGCTGTACAACTAAATCTATCCTAATAAATTACCCATAAGTTGCAAATTTTGTGAGTTAAAACTGAGATAGACAGATATCTCAATTCTAGAAAAGAAAAAGACCACAACAAAGCAATGGTTAGAAATGAAATTAGCCATTTGCCTACTCAAAAGACCTCAATTCCAATGGGAGACATGGCATTGTACTGAATTTATTCTTTAAGATGCCTAATAAAATATTCAAATACAGAAAACTCAACTCCATCCTAAGTATGTGGCATTTGATATGGTTTGAAAAGTAAACACCAAGGAAAGAATGAAAATGAAATATGCTCAAAAGAAACCAAGATTAGTGGGTCATTTACTCCAAAAATCTCCAGTCACTTGGTTGTCATTTATAACTTAAGGCTATATGCATTCTCTTGCTCTCTTTGCAAGGGTATAGAAATTTCTTCCAATATGTAGAATTATATCATTTAAATCAATCAACATTTTCTGAGGCCCTTTGTTATGCTAGGTGTAAGGAAGTGAGATACAAAGATAAATAACAAGACTTATTACTCATCTTTTTTCAGAAAGAGTTTTGAGGGGTATGACCATGAGTCTTATCTTCAAGAGTCTATCTAGCATTGACACAGACTTATATACAAGACAAAATAGAAAACATACAGTTATGGAGGTAAATATGTTGTAGAGTAATATTAGGTAGTGAGATGACCTTTACAGCAGAAGTGTACTTGAGATGGATGCTTAAGAATGGATAAATATTTTAGCCAGATTAAAACATGAGCAAAGGACCTGGATAGACAGTTTTCCAAAGAAGACATTCACATGACCAACAGGTATATGAAAACATGCTTGACAGACAACTCATCAGGGAAACGCAAATCAAAACCACAATGAGATATAACCTTACACCTTTAGACTTAAGAAAGTCTAAAGATAAAAAAAGTTGATGATGATATGAACAAAAGGGAACACCTGCACACTGTTGATGAGAGTGTAAATTGGTGCAGCCATTATAGAAAATCATATGAACATTTCCTAAATTGTTAAAAATAGAACTATTATAGGGTCCAGCAATCCCACTTCTGAGTATACAGGCATACCTTGGAGAAATTGCACATTCCATTCTAGGCCATCACAATAAAGCAAATATTGCAATAAAGTGAGACACACAAAAATTTTGGTTTCTCAGTGCATTGAAGTTATCTTTACACTACACTGTAGTTTATTAAGTAGCAAAAACATAATGTCTAAAAAGAACAATGTACATATCTTAATTTAAAAATACTTAATTACTAAAAATGCTAACAATCATCTGAGCCTTCAGGGAGTCATAATCTTTTTGCTGGTGGAAGGTCTTTCCTCCATGCTGGTGCCTGCTGACTGATCAGGGTGCTGGTTGACGAAGTTTGGGTGGCTGTGATAGCTTCTTAAAATAAGACAAAAGTAAAGTTTGCTGCATCTTGACTATTCCTTTTATAAAATATTTCTCTGTAGCATGTGATGTTGTCTGATAGCATTTTACCCACAGGAAAACTTTTAAAATTGCAGTCAATACTCTTAAACCATGCAACTACTCTATCAACTAAGTTTACATAACATTCTGAGTTGTTTTTGGTTATTTCATCCATGTTTACAATATCTTTACCAGGAGTAGATTCCACCTCAAAAAACCAGTTTGCCCATGCTATGTCCAGTATGATATTGCCTAGGTTGTCTTCCAGGGTTTTCATAGTTTTGGGAACCCTCATGATTTAATCACTTCCCAAAAGGATCTAAGTTTCAACATAAATTTTCAAGGGTGCACATTCTGCAGTGGAATAACAATTGGAGAAGATTGCATTACCCAATATTATATTTATTATAGCTGTATACTAATTAATGCAGTGTGATAGTGAAACAGGAATATAGAAATAAACCCATGCAACTGAATAGAGAATTAAGACATAAACCTATGCCCAGGTAGAGTTTGAATATCATCAAGATAGCTTGCCAATCAATAGTAACAGACCTACTATTAAAATGTAGTTCTAATTTTAAGAAATAGTCTACTCAAATGGAAAAGAACCAGAAAAACCATTCTGGTTATGTGACAAAACAGGGTTCTATAACACCTCCAAAAGATCACACTAGCTCCCCAGCAATGGATCTAAACTGAGAAGAAATATCTGAATTGCCAGATTAAAAAAAAAAGAATTTTAAAGAATGACTAAAGCCTGCAAGAAATTTGGGATTATGTTAAATTATCAAAACAAAGAATAATTGGTGTTCCTGAGGAAGAAGAGAAATCTGAAAGTTGGAAAACTTTTTCGCAGGAATAACTGAGGAAAATTTCCTGGCCTTGCTAGAGATGTATACATCTAAATACAACAAACTCAAAGAACTCCTGTAAAATTCATTACAAAAAGATCATTAGTAGACACATAGTCATTGGGTTACTAAAGTCAAAGAAAAGAATCTTAACAACTGTGAGACAAAAGCATTAGGTAAGCTATAAGGAAAAACCTATCAGATTAACAGCTGATTTCTCAGCAGAAACCTTACAAGCCAGAAGAGATTGAGGTCCTATCTTTAGCCTTCTTAAACAAAATAATTGTCAGCCAAGAATTTTGTATCCAGCAAAAACTAAGCTTCATAAATGAAGGAGAGATGACAAAAAATGCTGAGAGAATTCGGCACTACCAAACCAGCATTACAAGAAATGCTAAAAGGAATTCTAAATCTTGAAACAAAACCTTGAAATACACTGAAACAGAACCTCCTTAAAGCATAAATCTAACGAGGTCTGTAAAACAATAGCACAATGGAAAAAACAAAGTTTTTAGGCAACAGCTAACATGATGAATAGAACAGTACCTCACATCTCAATACTAACATTGAATGTAAATGGCCTGAATGCTCCACTTAAAAGATACAGAATAGCAGAATGAATGAAAATCCGCCAACCACGTATCTGCTGTCTTTAAGAGACTCACCTAATACATAAGGACTCACATAAACTTAAGGGAAAGAGGTGGGAAAAGACATTCCATGCAAATGGAAACCAAAAGTGAGTAGGAGTAGCTATTCTTATATTAGAAAAAACAGATTTTAAAGCAACAACAGTAAAAAAAGGCAAAGAGGGACACTGTATAATGATAAAATGATTAGCCAAATAGGAAAATATCACACATGATTATCTCAATAGATGCAGACAAGGCTTTTTGATAAAATTCAATGTCATTCCATCTTAAAAACTCTCAATAAATTAGGTATTGAAGGAACAAACTTCAAAATAGTAAGAGCTATATATGACAAAACCACAGCCAGCATCACACTGAATGGGCAAAAGCTTGAAGCATTTCCCTTGAAAAGTGGCACAAGAAAAGGATGCCCTCTCTCACCACTCCTATCCAACATAGAATTGGAAGGTCTGGCAAGAGCAGTCAGTCAAGAGAAAAAAATAAATGGCATCCAAATAGGAAGAAAAGAAGTCAAACTATCACTGTTTGCAGATTACATGATCCTATATCTAGAAAAATCCAGTGTCTCAGCCCAAAAGCTCCTTAAGCTGATAAGCAACTTCAGCAAAGTCTCAGGATACAAAATCAATGTGCAAAAATCGCTAGCATTAGCTATATACCAATAATATTCAAGCTGAGAGCCAAATCAGGAATACAATCACATTTACAATTGGCATGAAAAGAATAACATGCCTAGGAACACAACCGACTAGGGAGGTGAAAGATCTGTACAAGGAGAACCACTTCCCAAAGAAATCAGATATGGCAGAAACAAACAGAAAAACATTCCGTGCTCATAGATAAGAAGAATCAATATCACTAAAATGGCCATTCTGCCCAAAGAAACTTATAATGTCAATGTTATTCCTATTAAAGTACCATTGACAATCTTTACAAACTAGAAAAAACTATTTTAAAATTCATATGGAACCAAAAAATAGTCTGAAAAGCAAGGCAATCCTAAGCAAAAAGAGCAAAGCTGGAGACATCATGTTACCTGATTTTAAACTATACTACCGGGCTACAGTATCCAAGACAGCATGGTCCTGGTACAAAAACAGACACATAGACCAGTGGAACATAATAGGGAACCCAGAAATAAGACCACACACCTACAACTATCTGATTTTCGACAAAGCTGACAAAAACAAGCAGTGAGAAAAAGATTCCCTATTCAATAAATGGTACTGGGCTAATTGGGTAGCTATATGCAGAAGATTGAAACTGAACCCCTTCCTTATACCATATACAAAAATTAACTCAAGATGGATGAAAGACTTAAATGTAAAATCCCAAGCTATAAAAACATAGAAGACAACCTAGGCAATACCATTCAGGACATAAGCACAGGCAAAGATTTTATGAGGAAGACACCAAAAGTAATTGCA
Source organism: Homo sapiens (assembly GCF_000001405.40). Taxonomy (NCBI): domain Eukaryota; kingdom Metazoa; phylum Chordata; class Mammalia; order Primates; family Hominidae; genus Homo; species Homo sapiens. Next base: position 99,730 of record NW_013171806.1, on the reverse strand, counting down.
ACAAAAGTAAAAATTAGCAAATGGGATCTAACTAAACTAAAGAGCTTCTGCACAGCAAAAGAAACCATCAACAGAGTATACAGACAACTGACAGAATGGGAGAAAATTTTTGCAAACTGTGCATTCAACAAAGGTCTAATATGTAGCATCTATAAGGAACTTTAACAAATTTAAAAGAAAAAAAGCAACCTATTAAAAAGTGGGCCAAAAGGCTGGGCACGGTGATTCATGCCTGTAATCCCAGCACTTTGAGAGGCTGAGGTGAGCAGATCACTTGAACTTAGGAGTTCAAGACCAGCCTGGGCAACCTGGAGAAACCCCATCTCTACCAAAAAAATATAAAAACTTAGCCGGGCATAGTGGTGTGTGCCTGTGGTCCCAGCTGCTTGGGAAGCTGAGGATTGCTTGAGCCCAGGAGGTGGAGGCTGCAGTGAGCCCAGATCACGCCACTGCATTCCAACCTGGGTGACTGAGTGAGACCCTGTCAAAACAAAAACAATAAGAGTGGGCAAAGGACATGAACAGAGAGTTTTCAAAAGAAGAAATACACTTGGCCAACAATCACATGAAAAAAAACTCAACATCATTGATCATTACAGAAATGCAAATCAAAACCACAATGAGATACCATCTAACACCAGTCAGAATGGTTACTATTAAAAAGTCAAAAAATAACAAATGCTGGCAAGGTTGTGGAGAAAAAGGAACACTTATACACTGTTGGTGGAAGTGTAAATTAGTTTAGCATTGTAGAAGACAGTGTGGCAATTCCTCAAAGAACTAAAGACAAATCCCATTCAATCCAGCAATCTCATTACTGGTTATATACACAAAGGAATATAAATTATTCTATTATAAAGACACACACATGTGTATGTTCATTGCAGCACTATTCACAATAGCAAGGACACGAAATCAACCTAAATGCTCATCAATGATAGAGAGGATAAGGAAAATGTTGTACATATACACCTTGGAATACTATGCAGCCATTAAAAAGGACAAGATCATGTCCTTTGCAGGGACATGGATGGAGCTTGAGGCCATTATCCTTAGCTAACTAACACAGGAACAGAAAATCAAATACTGCATGTTCTCACTTATAAGTGAAAGCTAAATGATGAGAACACATGGACAAATAGAGGGGAACATCACACACTGGGGCTTTTCAGAGTGTGGGGGATGAGAGGAGGGAGAGGATCAGGAAAAACAACTCGTGGGTACTAGGCTTAATACCTGGGTGAGGCAATAACCTGTACAACAACCCCCATGGCAGAAGCTTACCTATGTAACAAACCTGCACTTGCATCCCTGAACTTAAAAGTAAAAAATAAATTTAAAAAAACAAAGTAAAAAGTAAAACAAAACAAAATTCCAAATGCTATAGCCATTGTGGAGATAGCTTGACAATTTCTTATAAAATTAAATATGTGCTTATCGCAAAGTTAAGAAATCTGCTCCTAGTTTTCTGCCCCAAAGGAAAAAAAAAGTGTATTGAAATGCTCCTGGAAGCTTTATTCACAAGATCAAAGAAAATAAAACAATCCAAAAGTTCTTTGGCTGCTGAATAGGCAACAAATTATGCAATATTTATACAATGGAATTCAACCCAGCATTAGAGAGGAAAGAACTACTGATACACACAGCAACATGATCTTGAAAATATCATGCTAGGTAAAAGAAGCCAGACACAAAAAACTTTCGTTTATGCGGAATTTTTAGAAAAGGCAAAACTGTAGCAACAAAAAGCAATCAGAGATCAGACCACAGTGGGCCAGGGGAATGTTTGCAAAAGGACACTGTGAAATGTTGGGGAAATGAACATGTTCTATATCTTGGATTGTACCCTTAAAAGGAGTTGATTTTTTCTTATGTAAGTTATATTTCAGTAAAGCTCTCATAAAAAGGGAATACTTATTACCATAAATAATTAGAAAAATACAGCAAAATACAATGAATCAAAGAAAAATTCATTTCTCATCATATAACTATTAAGATCTGTAGTAAACTTTTAATTGAAGAATAGAAGACTATATAGAAAGTGAAAAATCATAGTTGTGCAACTCAATGAATTTTTACAAACTGAACACATACATGTAACCATAACCTATATCATGAAACAGAACATTGCTAGCACTTCCAGACGGATACTTCATGCCTCCTTCTGGGCAGAAACCCTGTAATCAGTAACACCAGGGCTTAGTTTTGTCTATTTTGAATTCTCTCTGTAATATATAAAATATATAAATGTATATGCAAGTGAAATCACATGGAAATATTTATTTTATATATGGTTTCTTTAGCCCAAAAATGCCTTTGCAAGATACACCCACATTGCAAAGTTGTGGTTTGTTCATTATTATTTTGTAGTTTTTCATTGTATGAATATAACACAAATTATTAATTCTGTGGTGAATGATCACTGAGTTATTTACAGCATTGGAGTTTTAAGAATAAGATTTCTGTGAACATTCTTGTGTCTATCTTTAGATGAATAGAATGTATACCTGTTAGGTATATACATAGGAGTGGGATTGCTGCATTTACAGTATGCATGTAAGTAAATTTTATAGATATTTTCAAACAGTTTATCAATGTATTGTGCCAATTATACTCTCACATGCAACATAGGAAGATTTTTATTGATCTACATAGTAATGTTTTAATTTTTTTTACAGAATATCTCCAAGTTGATTTTTTAAATTTCTATAACTCTTAATAAAATTGGGTCCATATGGTATACAGAAAAAAACATTAAATTAAAAATAAAAAGAGGCTGGAAGCAGTGGCTCATCTCTGTAATCCCAGCGCTTTGGGAGTCCCAGGTGGGCGGATCACTCGAGGTCAGAAGTTCAGGACCAGTGTGGCCAATATGGTGAAACTCCATCTCTACTAAAAATACAAAAATTAGCCGGGTGTGGTGGTGCACACCTGCAATCTCAGCTACTCTGGAGGCTGAGGCAGGAGAATCCCTTGAACCCGGAAGGTGGAGGTTGCAGTGAGCTGAGACATGCCATTGCACTCCAGTCTGGGTGACAGAGTGAGACTCCGTCTCAAAAAACAATAAAATAAATAAATAAATATACAAACAGCAAGAAAAAGAAAATAAAACAATTTTAAATAAAAAAATGTTCTTAGGTTTATGTGTCTGTGCAAATATATAAACACACATATATACCTATATGTGTATATACACATATATATGTATATATACACATCTAGGTATATATATACCTATATATACACATCTAGGTATATATATACCTATATATACCTATGTGTATACACACACACTATATATACACACACACACACACACTTGGAGTGAAAAATATAAAGTATTTTCTCTTCCATGGAAAGAAACATACTTAAAAAAAAATGACAAAACGTACAAACCAGAAAGAAATAGGGTTAAAATTAACAATTTTATTTTAAAAAACTGTAAGCTATAGCTAGTTAAATCAACATGAATACCTTAAATGTACACTATTGAACAAAAAAGCAAATATATAATTTGATATAATTTTTTGTGTTGTTTTTGAGACAGTATTTCACTCCCCTCACCCAGGCTGGAGTGCAGTGGTACGATCACAGCTCACCACAGCCTTGACTTCCTGGTCTCAAGCAATCCTCCCACCTCAGCCTCCCAGGTAGCTGGGACTATAGGAGTGCTGCCATGCCCAGCTAATTTTTGTGTTGTTAGTAGAGATGGGGTTTTGCCATGATGCCCAGGCTGGTCTCCAACTTCTGGACTCAAGTGATTCTCCTACCTCCACTTCCCAAATTGCTGGGATTACAGGTTTGGGCCACTGCACCAGGCTTTAAAATTATTAAAATAAAACAATAAAGTATTTTTTTAGATAACTTGTTTTAATCATAAAGAAAATTTTTAAAAATGGAATACTTAGAGAAAAATTAGTAGAGAAGTGCACATAGGAGACTCCAAGGTTAATAGTTATATTTCTATGTTAAGTCAGACAATGGCATATGGTTTTAATTTTATTCTTATTCATTAAACTCTACCTATAAATTAAGCATAATGTTTTAAGAAGATACTTTATTAGAACAGTTTTAGATTTACTAAAAAATTGAGGAAACAGTATAGAGAATCCACATACCCTACACCTGGTTTCTTCATTATAAATATCTTAGATTACTATTGTACATTTTTTTAAAATTAATGAACTAATATTAATATATTATCATGAACTAAAGTTCATATTTTATTCAGAAATTCTTAACTTTTACCTGACGTCCGTTTTCTGTTCTAAGATCCCATCTAGGATACCACATTGCAGTAGTAATTATCATTAGGTTTCCCCTAGCTGTGAAATTTTCTCTGTCTGTCCTTGTTTTTGATTATCTTGACATTTTTGAGTAATATTGGTCTGGCGTTTTGCAGAATGACAGAATTTTCTTGGCACATTTGTCATGATTAGATGGAGGCTATAAGTTCTTGGGGGGATGACCACAGAAGTAGGTGCCATTTTCATCACATCATACCAAGGGCACATACTTTTAACAAGACTTATGACCACTGATGTTAATCTTGATCACCTGGCTAAGTTAATGTAATATATACATTTTAATGCCTAATATTTTTATTATGTAGTATTTTCTAAGGTCAGAAGAGCAAAACAATGTTAATTATCCATGGAGAAGGAATTTTACAGTTTTTAAGTTACCACTTGCTCAGCTTCTCTTCCCTAGTAGAGTCTTGTGTCTTCCTTTGAAACGAACTCTAGAAAAATAAATTGAGTTTAAAACTACCCATTGTTACTCCCTATCAAACATCAATAACTTAAAAGAATAACAAATATTCATGAATGTTTTTAGGGAAGAGCATTGATTTTGACCTTATAGATTGATTTCAGGTTTGCAAATGATGTCTTAGATTTCCATTATTAGATTTCATTTTCCCTGTTGTGCCCTAGACATGGGGTCAGTAACCCTGGGCTTTAGTCTCCTTTACTAGATTACTTTGTAAAAAAATCAACTTTATCCTTTAACAGCTCCATTTTATCATTTTCCCTAGAAAAGCTCTCTCAGAAAGTCTAAGGGGGGTGGTAAATTCAACAGATATGAGGACTTGGCCTCTCCCCCTCACTCCTGGAATGCACCTGCACCTGTGTGGCAGTCATAGTTATGTCTATGTGCACTGGCAGAAGCTGCCACAGGAGCAGTTTTTGTTTCTTTTTTTTTTCATACTTTAAAAAGAGCTGTACAATTTTTTTTTTGTTTACAAGATTTATGGATTGTGTTATTTATATTGCTTAAATTCATGTTTGGTGCAGAAAGTCATCTAAATTCTCAAAATAAATCTTCCAATATACGTTCTCTTTTGACACTGGAACTTTAGTTCAATATTGCTAGGTGACAATCAGTAAGGTAATGAGCTTCCAAATGACGAAACTAAGCAGAAGAGGCCAAACATCTTCTCAAAGATAATGCCAAATAATGTGTTAAAAAAACAGGATTAACACATCTTTTCCTGTTTTTCTTCTTCCCATAGTAATTTAGATTTTACACTGTGCCAAAGTAGAGCAGATAAATGTAGCTGTCTTAACATTATAAACAGTACCTGGTGTTCATATACTGCTTCAAAGTTCCAAGCTTATTTTAGTAAAACTAAAACATCATAAAAGAGCCCCAGAGGTCTAAACATATTCCTATATAACTTTGCCCCTCTCCTCTTGCTGCCTTCATTTCTGTTACCCACATTCTGCCCTGCCTGTTATCTGTTGCATATGATTTGTATCTTAGCCAGGCATTTGAATCAGTAGTTTGTCAAACAGCAGTGGACAGAGTGACAGAAAGGAATGGAACCAGCGAAAAAAGAAGAGCAAGAAAAAAACATTACTTTTTCTTTTAAAATTATATGCTATACTGAGGGGAGGTTTCAAGATGGCTGAATAGGAACAGCTCCAGTTTACAGCTCCCAGCATGAACAACGCAGAAGACAGGTGATTTCTGCATTTCCAACTGAAGTACCAAGTTCATCTCACTGGGGCTTGTTGGACAGTGGGTGCAGGACAGTGTGTGCAGCCCACAGACCATGAGCCGAAGCAGGGAGAGGCATCGCCTCATCCAGGAAGCACAAGGGGTCTGGGAATTCCTTTTCCTAGCCAAGGGAAGCCATAACAGATGGCACCTGGAAAATTGGGTCACTCCCACCATAATACTGTGCTTTTCCAACAGTCTTAGCAAACAGCACACCAGGAGTTTATATCATACGCCTGGCTCGGAGGGTCCCAGACCCATGGAGCCTTGCTCACTGCTAGCAGAGCAGTCTGAGAACTAACTGCAAGGCAGCAGGGAGGCTGGGGGTGGGGTGCCCGCCATTGCTGAGGCTTGAGTACGTAAACAAAGCGGCCAGGAAGCTCGAACAAGGTGGAACCCACCACAGCTCAGGGAGGCCTGCCTGCCTTTGTAGACTCCACCTCTGGGGGCAGGGCATAGCCGAACAAAAGGCAGCAGAAACTTCTGCAGAGTTAAACGTCCCTGTCTGACAGCTTTGATGAGCATAGTGGTTGTCCCAACATGGAGTCTGAGATCTGAGAATGGACAGACTGCCTCCTCAAATGGGTCCCTGACCTCCGAGTAGCCTAACTGGGAGGCACTTCCCAGTAGGGGCCAACTGACACCTTATATGACCGGGCGCCCCTCTGAGACAAAGCTTCCAGAGGAACGATCAGGCAGCAGCATTTGCCGTTCCACAATATTTGTGGTTCTGCAGCCTCCGCTGGTGAGACCCAGGCAAACAGGGTCTGGAGTGGACCTCCAGCAAACTCCAACAGACCTGCAGCTGAGGGTCCTGATGGTTAGAAGGAAAACTAACAAACAGAAAGGACATCCACACCAAAACCCCATCTGTACGTCACCTTCATCAAAGACCAAATGTAGATAAAACCACAAACATGGGGAGAAATCAGAGCAGAAAAGCTGAAAATTCTAAAATCAGAGCACCTCTTCTCCTCCAGAGGAATGCAGCTTCTCACCAGCAATGGAACAAAGCTGGACAGAGAATGACTTTGACAAGTTGAGAGAAGAAGGCTTCAAAAGATTGGTAATAACAAACTTCTCTGAGCTACAGGAGGATGTTCGAGCCCATCACAAAGAAGCTAAAAATCTTGAAAAAAGATTGGACAAATGGCTAACTAGAATAAACAGCGTAGAGAAGACCTTAAATGACCTGATGGAGCTGAAAACCATGGCGCAAGAACTACGTGATGTATGCCCAAGCCTCAGTAGCCGATTCGATCAACTGGAAGAAAGGATATCAGTGATTGAAGATCAAATAAATGAAATGAAGCAAGAAGAGAAGTTTAGAGAAAAAAAGAGTAAAAGGAGAGGAACAAAACCTCCAAGAAATATGGGAATATGTGAAAAGACCAAATCTACATCTTATTGGTGTACCTGAAAGTGACAGGCAGAATGGAACTAAGTTGGAAAACACTCTTCAGGATATTATCCAGGAAAACTTCCCCAACCTAGCAAGGCAGAACAACATTCAAATTCAGGAAATACAGAGAACACCACAAAGATACTCCTCAAAAAGAGCAACTCCAAGACATGTAATTGTCAGATTCACCAAAGTTGAAATGAAGGAAAAAATGGTAAGGGCAGCCAGAGAGAAAGGTCAGGTTACCCACATAGGGAAGCCCATCAGACTAACAGCTGATATCTCAGCAGAAACTCTACAAGCCAGAAGAGAGTGGGGGCCAATATTCAACATTCTTAAAGAAAAGAATTTTCAATCTGGAATTTCATATCCAGCCAAACTAAGCTTCATAAGTGAAGGAGAAATAAAATCTTTTACAAACAAGCAAATGCTGAGAGATTTTGTCACCACCAGGCCTGCCTTACAAGAGCTCCTGAAGGAAGCACTAAACATGGAAAAGAACAACCGGTACCAGCCACTGCAAAAGCATGCCAAATTGTAAAGACCATTGAGGCTAAGAAGAAACGGCATCAACTAACAAGCAAAATAACCAGCTAACATCATAATGACAGGATCAAATTCACACATAACAATATTAACCTTAAATGTAAATGGGCTAAATGCTCCAATTAAAAGACAGACTGGCAAATTGGATAGAGTCAAGACCCACCAATGTGCTGTATTAAGGAGACCCATCTCACGTGCAGAGACACACATAGGCTCAAAATAAAGGGATGGAGAAAGATCTACCAAGCAAATGGAAAATAAAAAAAAGTAGGGATTGCAATTCTAGTCTCTGATAAAACAGACTTTAAACCAACAAAGATCAGAAGAGACAAAGAAGGCCATTACATAATGGTAAAGGGATCAATTCAACAAGAAGAGCTAACTATCCTAAATATATACGCATCCAATACAGGAGCACCCAGATTCATAAAGCAAGTCCTTAGAGACCTACAAAGAGACTTAGACTCCCACACAATAATAATGGGAGACTTTAACACCACACTGTCAACATAAGACAGATCCACGAGACAGAAAGTTAGCAAGGATATCCAGGAATTGAACTCAGCTCTGCATCAAGCGGACCAAATAGACATCTTCAGAACTCTCCACCCCAAATCAACAGAATATACATTCTTCTCAGTACCACATCGCCCTTATTCCAAAATTGACCACATAGTTGGAAGTAAAGCACTCCTCAGCAAATGTAAAAGAACAGAAATTATAACAAACTGTCTCTCAGACCACAGTGCAATCAAACTGGAACTCAGGATTAGGAAACTCACTCAAAACTGCTCAACTACATGGAAACTGAACAACCTGCTCCTAAATGACTATATAACGAAATAAAGGCAGAAATAAGAATGTTCTTTGAAACCAATGAGAACAAAGACAGAACATACCAGAATCTCTGGGACACATTCAAAGAAGTGTGTAGAGGGAAATTTATAGCACTAAATGCCCACAAGAGAAAGCAGGAAAGATCTAAAATTGACACTTTAACATCACAATTAAAAGAACTAGAGAAGAAAGAGCAAACACATTCAAAAGCTAGCAGAAGGCAAGAAATAACTAAGATCAGAGCAGAACTGAGAGATAGAGACAAAAAAACCCTTCAAAGAATCAATGAATCCAGGAGCTGGTTTTTTGAAAAGATCAACAAAATTGATAGACCACTAGCAAAACTAATAAGAAAAGAGAGAAGAATCAAATAGAAACAATAAAAAAAAAGATAAAGGGGATATCACTACCAATCCCACAGAGACACAAACTACCAACAGAGAATACTATAAACACCTCTATGCAAATAAACTAGAAAATCTAGAAAAAATGGATAAATTCCTGGACACATACACCCTCCCAAGACTAAACCAGGAAGAAGTTGAATCCCTGAGTAGACCAATAACAGGCTCTGAAATAGAGGCAATAATTAAGAGCCTCCCAACCAAAAAAAGTCCAGGACCAGATGGATTCACAGCCAAATTCTACCAGAGGTACAAAGAGGAGCTGGTACCATTCCTTCTGAAACTATTCCATTCAATAGAAAAATAGCAAATCTTCCCTGACTCATTTTATGAGGCCAGCATCATCCTGATACCAAAGCCTGGCAGAGACACAACAAAAAAGGGAATTTTAGACCAATATTCCTGATGAATATCAATACACAAATCCTCAATAAAATACAGGCAAACCGAATCCAGCAGCACATCAAAAAGCTTATCCACCATGACCAAGTGGGCTTCATCCCTGGGATGCAAGGCTGTGCAACATATGCAAATCAATAAACATAATCCAGCATATAAACAGAACCAATGACAAAAACGACATGACTATCTCAACAGATGCTGAAAAGATGCCTTCGACAAAATTCAACAGCCCTTCATGCTAAAAACTCTGAATAAATTAGGTATTGATGGGATGTATCTCAAAATAATAAGAGCTATTTATGACGAACCCACAGCCAATATCACACTGAATGGGCAAAAACTGGAAGCATTCCCTTTGAAAACTGGCACAAGACAGGGATGCCCTCTCTCACCACTACTATTAAACATAGTGTTGGAAGTTCTGGCCAGGGCAATCAGGCAGGAGAAAGAAATAAAGGGTATTCAGTTAGGAAAAGAGGAAGTCAGATTGTCCCTGTTTGCAGATGACATGATTGTATACCTAGAAAACCCATCGTCTCAGCCCAAAATCTCCTTAAGCTGGTAAGCAACTTCAGCAAAGTCTCAGGATACAAAATCAATGTGCAAAAATCACAAGCATTCCTACACACCAATAACAGACAAACAGCCAAATCATGAGTGAATTCCCATTCACAACTGCTTCAAAGAGAATAAAATACCTAGGAATCCAACTAACAAGGGATGTGAAGGACCTCTTTAAGGAGAATTACAAACCACTGCTCAAGGAAATAAAAGAGGACACAAACAAATGGAAGAACATTCCATGCTTATGGATAGGAAGAATCAATATTGTGAAAATGGCCATACTGCCCAAAGTAGTTTATAGATTCAATGCCATCCCCATCAAGCTACCAATGACTTTCTTCACAGAATTGGAAAAAACTAATTTAAAGTTTATATGGAACCAAAAAAGAGCCCTCATTGCCCAGACAATGCTAAGCCAAAAGAACAAAGCTGGAGCATCACGCTACCTGAATTCAAACTATACTACAAGGCTACAGTAACCAAAACAGCATGGTACTGGTACCAAAACAGAGATATAGACCAATGGAACAGAACAGAGGCCTCAGAAATAATACCACACATCTACAACCATCTGATCTTTGACAATCCTGCCAAAAAACAAGAAGTGGGGAAAGGATTCCCTATTTAATCAATGGTGCTGGGAAAACTGGCTAGCCATATGTAGAAAGCTGAAACTGGATCCCTTCCTTACATCTTATACAAAAATTAATTCAAGATGGATTAAATACTTAAATGTCAGACCTAAAACCATAAAAACCCTGGAAGGAAACCTAGGCAATACCATTCAGGACATAGGCATGGGCAAGGACTTCATGTCTAAAACACCAAAAGCAATGGCAACAAAAGCCAAAATTGACAAATGGGATCTAATTAAACTAAAGAGCTTCTGCACAGCAAAAGAAACTACCATCAGAGTGAACAGGCAACCTACAGAATGGGAGAAAATTTTCACAATCTACCCATCTGACAAAGGGCTAATATCCAGAATCTACAAAGAATTTAAACAAATTTACAAGAAAAAAATCAAACAACCCCATCAACAAGTGGGCAAAGGATATGAACAGACACTTCTCAAAAGAAGACATTTATGCAGCCAAAAGACACATGAAAAAATGCTCATCATCACTGGCCATCAGAGAAATGCAAATCAAAACCACAATGAGATACCATCTCACACCAGTTAGAATGGTGATCATTAAAAAGTCAGGAAACAACAGGTGCTGGAGAGGATGTGGAGAAATAGGAACGCTTTTACACTGTTGGTGGGAGTGTAAACAAGTTCAACCATTGTGGAAGACAGTGTGGTGATTCCTCAAGGATCTAGAACTAGAAATACCATTTGACCCAGCCAATGCATAACTGGGTATATACCCAAAGGGTTATAAATAATGCTGCTATAAAGACACATGCACATGTATGTTTATTGCGGCACTATTCACAATAGCAAAGACTTGGAACCAACCCAAATGTCGATCAATGATAGACTGGATTAAGAAAATGTGGCACATATACACCACAGAATACTATGCAGCCATAAAAAAGAATGAGTTCACGCCCTTTGTAGGGACATGGATGAAGCTGGAAACCATCATTCTGAGCAAACTATCACAATGGCAGAAAACCAAACACAGCATGTTCTCACATGTGGTGGGAATTGAACAATGAGAACACTTGGATACAGGTTGGGGAACACCACACACCGGGTGCTGTCATGGGGTCGGGGGAGGGGGGATGAATAGCATTAGGAGATATACCTAATGTAAATGACAAGTTAATCGGCGCAGCATACCAACATGCCACATGTATACATATGTAACAAACCTGCACATTGTGCACATGTACCCTAGAACTTCAAGTATAATTAAAAAAAATTATATGCTATACTTTCTTATATCACTATCCCTATCTAACTCAGTGCAGTTTGTCAACTGCCACCATACTCTTTGCAAATTCCACCATAAACCCATCATTCCACCATATTTCATTTTTATACATAAAACTCTTTTTATCTTTTCACATGTGTCAAAATTGACTGTATTAGTCTGTTCTCATGCTTTTAATAAAGACATACAAGAGACTGGGTAATTTATACAGGAAGGAGATTCATTGACTCACAGTTCCACATGGTGGGGGAGTCCTCAAAATCATGGCAGAAGGCGAATGAGGAGCAAAGTCACATCTTAATGGCGGAAGGCAAGAGAGCATGTGAAGGGGAACTCCCCTTTATAAAACCATCAGGTCTCTCGAGACATATTCACTATCGCAAGAACACCACAGGAAAGACCTGCCCCATGATTCAATAACCTCTCACTGAGTCCCTCTCATGACACATGGGAATTACAGGAGCTACAGTTCAAGATGACATTTGGGTGCGGATACAGCCAAACCATATCATTCATCATATCTTGATAACATTATTTTTTCTTGGGATCAACCCAGAAAAAGTTTATTTTTTTTTTACTTTTCTTTAATGTTCACAGGAATGAAAGAGAAGACCAACATGTTCTTTGCTTTTTTACTGATGCTTCTAGTCCAGACCTTTATTCTGCGAACATGTACTAACAACTTCCTTTTTGTCATTTTTCCTAGAAAAGTTCTCTCAGAATCTTTTTAGGCAATTCAATGCCATTCTTCATCTTGTTTATTGCTGTCTTTTCAATCATAGCTTACTTTCATCTTAATTGATTTCACCACTTGGATCGTAGTACTTGATATAAATCCATTTCCTTTTATTGATTTTACTTATTTTCATGTATTCAGCAAAGAGACATAGAACACCTGCTATATGATACTGCTTTCCCCTCAACTATAAAAATGACCATATTACATTCCCTGTATGCCCATGCTTCTGCCATTCCTTTTGAATTTCCCTGTTCCCCACCAATTTTCCAAGTTATCTCCCTTCTTTGTTCCACAGCAGGATTTTAAAAGTATTTTTCTACTTTAACCACATTGACATCCCTAATACACATTTATAGAAATGCATATATTGAACAATCTAAACAAATATATTCTTTAAAACCTATGAAAACTATTCACTCAATGCTTTCTGATCCAATACTCTCCAGATCCAGTAACCTTTTTCCAACATTAAAATCTCATCTAGGATGAGCTATGCTGTGCTATCATTAACAACTGAAATCTTGAATCCCAATGATGTATTAATACTTTTTTACTCACTTATGAAAAGACAAATACAGGTGGATATTGCTGGTGGTTTTGTTCTCTTGAGTAGTTCTCCTTCATTTATTGATTCAAGGGCCCAGCCTTATTCTGTGCTGTGGTTTCCCCATCTTCAGATGTGCCTTAAATGTCATCCTGGTGTCATTCAGATAAGCAGGCATGAAAGAAGCAGGGTAGAAGAAATGAAGGCATGTGTAGTCAATACAGCAGCTTTTCATTGCTTTAGACTTACCATTTTCACTCCTTTATCAAGAACTTGACTCATGGTTCAATGCAGATTGCAAAGGGATCGGGAAACGGAGTTGGTCTCTGTTCCTGGAAAAAGAAAGGCTGGTCTCTGTCATAGTTCTTTTCCAAATGCACCTGTAAAGCAGCTTCTATTTAAGCTCTCACCAAATTGTATTATAGTTACGGTATGTGGTCTGTTTTTTTCTCTTAATCTTTAAATTCATGAAGGTAAAAGGCCAAAAATTAAACTTTTTCATACTCCCAGAGGTTAGAATAGTGTATGCCTCATACTAGGCACATAATAAATGCTACGCTACTCATGGATAATAACTACTTTCCTCTTTTACTATATTAATATTTTAAGGTGTGGACTACTTGCTATTTCTTATTCTTTGCCCCTTAGTGTCTTACTTTGTTTTCAAAATCTCAAAGCCTTCCTGTTTCTCTAGATGTTTACATACTTTCATTCCACAAAAATAAAAAGTCTTCAATATATTATCAGTGGCTCATTTTTTCTCAGTAAACCCATTTCAACTACTACATACATGTTTGTAACTCACTTGTATACCAAAAGCCTTTAAATATCTCCCAATTTCCAGCCCTACATCTGTAACCACCAACAAGACAACATTTACTTTATATCCCTTGTATATACTTATTTATTTAGCATATCTAAGACATGATTAATCTCTTTCCTACAACTTCTCCTTTTCATTTCCTATATTTTGTAATAGAAGCATTGATTTCCAACTGTCCAAGACTACATAAACAAGAATAAGCATATATTTCAGAGAAGAAAAATTTAGTCTTCACATTTTTTTAGAGTAAGCACTATTTATTTTAAAAGAATAAGAAGGTAAAATCTCAGGATATTTTCGGACCCCCAAAAGGTGATCACTAAACAAATATGTATAAAATTAGTCAATAAATTTGTTTTATTTTTGAGTTGCAAAAAAAAGGGTTTGAAACAAAATAAAAAGTAAAATGCTGTGATATGACAAATAATATTTAGTTCAATACAAATGAATTAAGCACAAGATTGAGATGTGCATGCACACGTGTGTGTGTGCATGTGTGTTTAAAATTGTGAAAGATTCAGTTTAATATCAGAGCACTATCATTTTGGGTACAGGCTACAACCAAGAGAACCAAAGCCTAATAGAGCAGCTTAGGTTATATTTAGCTATGTTGACTGAACGTAGCATGTAGATTCTTGACATTGGGAATTATGAGTAGGCTTAAGTTGTATCCTTGACTCCAAGGTGAGCAAAGCAGTTGAAGCTCTCAGAGTTGTTTTATAGAAGCATTGGCCACATTTCCCAATGTATAAAGAGTTTTCAAGAGGAAGATACATGCCCCTGATGGCCACTGAAGAAAAGCATACTTTTTTTCTCCCCGACTAATGGTCCTGATTATTATGGGATAATACTATTATTTATTTATTAGAAATGTTACCAATAGAAAGGTTAATAAAATAATTGCAATATTATCGGATTATTATGGAATATGGTTGTTACTGTAATATGAGGAAACTGAATTTGTAAGGAATCAATGAATACATTATAATGCTAAATTTATGTTATTTTTAGCATAGACTATTCCTTTCTTTGGATTTGTGTTATCTCACTATCTTTACTAATTCCTTGGTGCTGGTAAATATTTAGTGTTCATTAAAATATCCTAAAATTCTGCATGCCAAGTTGATATCTGTCCTTTATAATCAACTTATTCTAAACAAGTCTGCAGCTTTTAGGGGAGCATTGTGGAGGCAGCAAAACTTTATTTTTCATGACTTGACTTTTGCATTTGTTATCTTTTTCCATAAACTCTGACAAAGCTGAACTATACTGTGAAATAGTCAAATACACTGCTGACGTGTTTGCTGAAGTTCCTAATCTTTTCTCTATTTTTTCTATTAGATCCTTAAAGTACCAGTTCATAAATACTTCCTCTCTCTGCAGCATTTTCTCAGGTGTATCTTTCCACAAAACTTTTTTCACTAAATATTAACAAATTATATCGTGAGAACCCATCCCCAATATTTCAACATAGGTTCTTTCTATTATCCCTAAGTGTCGGCCGGTCTGAGAAATAAAGAGAAAGAGTACAAAGAGAGGAATTTTACAGCTGGGCCTCCTGGGGTGACATCGCATATTGGTAGGATCATGATGCCCACCTGAGCTGCAAAACCAGCAGGTTTTTATTAAGGACTAAAAAAGGGGAGGGGCTGTACTAACAGGGAGTAGGTCACAAAGATCACATGCCTCAAAGGGTAAAAAGGAGAACAAAGATCACATGCTTCTGAGGCCAATAAAGATCACAAGGCAAATGGCAAAGTCAAAAACTCCTGATAAGGGTCTATGTTCAGCTGTGCACATATTGTCTTGATAAACATCTTAAACAACAGAAAACAGGGTTCAAGAGCAGAGAACCAGTCTGACCTCAAATTCACCAGGGTGGGGTTTCTTCCAAACCCTAATAAGCCTGAGGGTACTGCAGGAGACCAGGGCGTATTTGAGTCCCTATCTCAACCACATAAGACAGACACTTCCAGAGTGGTGGTTTATAGACCTCCCCCCAGGAATGCATTCCTTTCCCAGGGTCTTAATTATTAATATTCCTTGCTAGGAAAAGAATTTAGCGATATCTCTCCTACTTGCACGTCCATTTATAGGCTCTCTGCAAGAAGAAAAATATGGCTGTATTCTGCCTGACCCCGCAGGCAGTAAGACCTTATGGCTGTCTTCCCTTGTTCCCTAAAAATTGCTGTTATTCTGTTCTTTTTCAAGGTGCACTGATTTTGTATTGTTCAAACACACGTTTTACAATCAATTTGTACAGTTAACGCCATCATCACAGTGGACCTGAGGTGATGTACATCCTCAGCTTACGAAGATAGCAGGATTAAGAGATTAAAGTAAGAAAAGCATACGAAATTATAAAAGTATTAATTTTGGGAACTGATATATGTCCATATTAAAATGAAATCTTCACAATTTATGTTCCTCTGCTGCAGCTCCAGCGGGTCCCTCTGTTTGGGGTCCCTGACTTCCCACAACAAAATTATTTATTAGAAATGTTACTAATAGAAGGGTTAATAAAATAACTGCAAAGAATTTTATTCAGAAATTTATATCTATCTCTACAATGCCAGTAAGTCTCTTCTGGAAATTTTGTAAGCATTTTTTTATATAGGTTTTACCTTGTTTCAGTTTACAAATATTGTTGTTTCACTCTTTAAATGTGAAGTTGTGTCTTCCATTTACGTTTTATTTAACAATAGCTTTAACTTAATTCATTTTTAAATTGTCAAAACATTTATTTTTAAACTTATTGAAATAGCAGCAGAATTTTCATAAATTTGTGGCTTTGTTTGCTACTGTTGAGATAGTTACAGTGTATTACAACATTTCAAGTTAGAAAATCTGAGCTTAAATTCTGCTTCTTCAGCTTACTATTTCTGTGGAGGTGAACCTCTAACCTTCTATATTCCATTCTTCTTTATACAAAAACTAAGAATATCATAGTAACAGTTTAAGCATTAAATTATTTTGACATATGATTTTTTTTAGTGCTGCTTTGCCAGCCAGAGACCTCTGCAGCTGGCAACACCCCCACCTGGGCTCTGCTTGGTCCTGGGCTCCTGGGTGGAGGTACCTGGACCATTCAGCCATGTGGGCTGCACTTGGCATGCACCCCAGCCAGATCCCGTGCTCAGCCTGCAGCTAGGCCAGGTGTACCCTTGCCCAGCTGTGTTACAGATTGTTCAGTTCTTCTGCCTCGCTCAGGCCCATGGCTCTGGGGCTGACCCAGCCCCACTGCTGCTTCTTGTTGTGTGGGATGGCTGCCCAGCGCTAATGGAGGGCAAAGGGCCACAGTGTTACATTCTTTCTTATACCTGCATTTGGTGCATCCTGAATTCTTGTCCCGTGTCCAAGAAGAATGAGGTTATGCTGACAACTGAAGGGTGACAAGTACAGAGAAGAGTTTTATTGAGGGACAGAACAGCTCTCAGCATAGAGGGGACTCGAAATGGGGTGGTCCATCACCCAAAGGCAGGTAGTCCTCCCACCACCCAAATGCAGGTAGTCCCAACATGTGGCTGAATCTGGGGCTTTTATGGACTCAGAATGGGGGAGTGCATGCTGAATAGTTTGTGAGTATGCCAAAAAAGGTTAAAAGAAAGGCACCTCTTAAAGGTGGGCATGACAGTGTAAAAAACCAATTAGAGAAGAGTGGGTATTTGTAAAATAGGTGAAGGATGGAGATCAATCAGAGGAAAGTGCACCAAATGGGAAGAGAGGTTCTCAATCCAGTCCGTGGACTTATCCGGGACTTGTAGCCAGGCTTCAAATTGTCTTCAGCTTGAAGGTTGGGTTTCACTGGGGACCTGCCCCTGTCTGCCTAGGATTTGTCTGTCTCCTGCTACTATTGATTTTACATATGAAGCATTTAAGCCTTTTGAATTTTATTCAAAATTCATTTATTTATCCATTCCTTCATTCTTTTATTCATTCACCTATTCATGTATACTGTGATAATGCAGAATGTTCACCTGAGCAAATTGCTTTCTGGCAATAAGTTTAGATAATACAAGCACATTTAATATTTCATCTCAACACCAAAAATCCAACATTTTCAAAGTCCAGAAAATCTAACAATTTCAAAGCCCAGAATAAAATGCTGAAAAGGTATAGTGATTAAGTGTGGAAAGAGCACAGAACTTAAAACAGCTGTCTGGAATATCTGTTGCCTTCATTCTGCATCATGTATCGAAGACTGAAATTAGGAAACCACCCCGTAAAGATGGGACAGATTTGCACAGGAATAGTTATGGCTCCTATTATGTTGTTCCCATTCACTCAGCAGTAAACAACATTCTTGATCATTTTCTCTTTAAACACTGTCCTCTTGTGATACATCACTCCCTTGATTTTTGTCTTCTTTTATCTTTTATTTTTTTTTGAGGCAGGATCTAGCTGTTGCCCAGGCTAGAGTGCAACAACACAACAATGGCTCACCGCAGCCTCAACCTCCTGGGCTCAAGCAATTCTACCTCCTCAGCCTCCCACGCAGCTGGAACCAAAGGCATGTAGCACCCCACCTGGCTAATTTAAAACAAAAATGTAGCAGTGGGGGTCTTGCTAGGTTGCTGTGGCTGGTCACAAACTCCTGGGCTCAAGCAATCCTCCTGCCTTGGCCTCCCAAAGTGCTGGGATTATAAGCATGAGCCACTTCACCTGGCCCAACTTTTGCCTTCTTCTATGCTATCTCTTGCCAGTTCTAAATTCTCTCCCGAAGTATTCCAAGTCCTTTACTTGTCTACAGCTTCCTTTTCATCTTACACAGATACCCAAATAGTCATCTCAAACTAAACATGTCCAAAATAGAGCTATTAATGTCTCCTGTCTTCTCATTCTCCCCTGTCCATTGTGTCCCCTCAGATTGTTTAATTCTTTTGTGCTTCTCCTCTCGGTAATTAGTAATATACCCACAGTTGCAAAAACAAATACTAAGATGCAGCCTTGATTTATGCCTTTTCCTAATTCTTACTACAATAAATCCATCATCAAGTTCTTTCTACTTTACATTAAATATGCAAATGTAATATGTGCACACATACCACCTCTGTCCTTTTGTCTCTGTTTCCATTATTGTCATCCTTGTTCAGGCTGTCATCATCTCTCCCCTGAAATATGTGATAGCCTGTAACTGGTTTTCCTGGTTGCATACTTACCCTCTACATTACAACATCAAGACTAATCCTTATAAAATACGTATTGGATAATATCACTCCCCTGCTTAAAACAATAAAAGTCAAACTACTTACCTATTGTCAGATAATAACCCATGTAAAGCACTTAGCATAGTGTCTTACACATCATAGGCCTTAAATAAATATTAGTTCTCTCTTCTCTCCCTCTTTTCTGTACACTTTTATCTTTCCACATGGCCATTTGTTAGATCTAAAATGTTCTTTAAAATTTTTATTAGATGTTTTCTTAGTGCAGCTTTACCTGAATTTCTTGCTGATTTTGTCCAAAGGAGTTATTAATTCCTCTATTTCTATGCTACCACAGCTGGATGCCTGGACTTCTGTTATAGACCTACTGGCAATGATTTGCAATTTAAAACAGGAATGTTAAATATAAATGATGACATATATGTGATTTCCTTAAGAGCAAATCCATGTTTGACCTATTTTTGCACCTTCAGTATATGTGACATATAGTAGGTATTCACTAAAAGCTTCTTTAAATGACTAAAACACTTTACGAACCTAGTAGTACAATGGAATCATTTGTTTTCTTAAGTAGGTCATAGACAACATAGGAAAAGGTATATAAAACTAGAGAGAAAAGAGTGGGAATAGACAGTCACAAAGTAACTATTCCATAGAGCATGAAAATTCAACTTTAAAAGAAGGTGAAGGAATTATCAGAATGTTGGGAGTATGCTTAATACTTGTTTAAATCAAATTTAAAAACTCAAGATATTTTTTAAACATAAGCTAGGCACAGAAAGCCAAATATTATATTATCTCTTTAATGGAAGAGGTTTAAGTGGAATCTAAAAACATAAAACTCATAGAAACAGAGAGTAAAATGCTTGTTGCCAAAGGCTGGGGGCTGGAAGAACTGGGGAGATGTTGCTTAGAGGACACATTTCAGTTAGACAGGAGGAACAAGTTCAAGTGATGTATTGTACTTCATGGTGACTGCAGTTAATAACAATATATTGTATTCTTGGAAATTGCTGAAAGTGTAGATGTCAAGTGTTCATACCACAAAAATATATGACATAATGTATACATTAAATAGCTTGATTTAGCCATTTCACAACATATACATCTATTAAGGTATATGTTGTACCCCATAAATATATATAAATTGTATTTGTCAATTAAAAATAAAGATATGTAAATAGAGAAAATACAAATAGGCAGAGATAGCTATTAAAATAAACCTTTTGATAATAACAATTTCAAATTCATGGTTAAATATGTAAAACACAGACTTTGGGGGCAGGCAATCTGTACTTGATATCTGAGTGTTATCATTATGGAGCCAGTTTTATTTGACTTCAGCACTTAATTTACTTGAGATCTGAAAGTTCTGAAGAACTTATACAGATAATATAAGCAAAACGAGGTCTAGTATTTAAGAAAACTCTTTAAGAAATGTTTCTGTTGTTGCATTCTACAAATAATTTTTATTTATATTACATTACCTTAGAGACTGCCATCAGAAAGAACTTTTCTCTAAGAATGATGGAATGTTAAAAGCCCCCAAAAGGCAGTTAAAATAATCAGTTGAAACCTTACGTATCTCCAAAGTAAATAAATATTTATACTTAGTAAACTTAAATATAATCTTATTTTAGAAAACATTTATATTTAAATGTGTATATAACATGTACAATATAATAAGGTATAGATATGCCATGGCAATTCTTCTATCTATAGTAGGTTATTATTAAGCAATTTTACAGCATAGGGCATGTCATGTTTCTATACTAAAAATAATATAGCAGTACTCATTTTACATATGTCTTTGCTCAAAAATTCAATTTATTTAGAATAAATGGCTTAAAGGTTAATTTTTCAAGAATTCTTTTATTGTTTAAAATTTTGGTTAAATATCTAGAGGTATATATTTCTATACCACAGAATAACTGATAATAATATATATATACAAGAAAGTTTTGCCCTAATAAATGACCTAGTAATACAATATATGGTATAACTTTGGAGGGGAAAATTTAAGATTTTTATTTTCCTATTATGGATTTAGACACATCTTAATTAAATCAATACATTATATTATATCAATTAAGACACATCTTAATTAAATCAATACAACATTAAAATTATAATATTTGATTTCAGAATACTTATTTTTGATTACTTAATTATCAAGAATTAGGTATAGATGTCTTTTTTTTATATGTTTCATGTAAAAAAAGACGAAAAAAATTTATTTTATATTTTGCCACTATTGTTTTTAACAAATCATAATACTTAAAATGTTTGTGTCCATTTTATAATGTGGTTTTGATTGCACTTCTTATAGAATTCAAATAAATATATTTGGTTTTTATTAAATTTGAGGATCACTTTCTCTTAATGAAGAACTTAGTATTCAGAACTGTAATTCTTTTTTTTCTATATTTTGCTTTCTTTTGGTTTTTTTCTTTCCCTGTCTTTTATTTGATGAAATATATCTCCCTCCCCTGTTTTTTAGAGTTTTTGTAATTTTGGTTTGTTTCACTACTCTTTGTTAAGCTATGCATTCTCTTTCTAATTATTCTACTTGTTAAATTTTTATTAAAAACAAAAATAGCAATGACATATTTTACATATTTATCTAATTATAAGCTCAAAGCATGAAATAGTATTGACTTCCACATACATATGTTTGTGTACGTGTATATTATGAATAAATTAGTTCATCTCAAATATGAAACTTTAACATCTTTACCATTTTTTTGGAATAGTCTAGGATTTTAGACACTTCTTAATTTTGTTTTACCTTTTATGTCACATATTCTTCATTAATAGTTATTAATATGTTGTATTTTCTAGCTGTTCTTGCAAAAAGTAGTTTTATTTTATGTTTCAACAGTCTCAGCGTCAACTGTGACACTTTCTGTGTTTGGCTTTCTTGTTTTGGAATTGTTTATCTTGATGTGCATCCCATTGCACATTGTTATGTTTCTCAAAAGATTATTTAAATGTTATGTGTTTTTATGATCACTCGTTTTTTGCTTCATGCATGCATTATTGCCTTAAACATTAAAAAATACTTGTTTTGATGTGCTTTTTATCTTTATATGTGAAAAATCTTTGCTGGCTAATATGTCTTTTGTCACAATTGTTTCCTCCTTAATTCTCTTAACGAATTAAGAGATTATTTCATTTTCTTCTGTCATTTTATGTGGTACAATACATCTGAATCTGTCCTCATTTTTCTTACATAGGTTTTTCATTTTCTTTTTCTGCTTGAAATTGCCAACATATATCTAAATGTTGACCTACTTAGTATTATACTGACTTTGGTATTTCTTTATCTTTTTATATAGTTATCTTTACATTTTCAAATTAACTTGTTCCTAAGGCTGAAAGAAATAAGAATGAATGTTGCTTCTTTTTTTCCTTTTCTGATTCCTACATCAAGAACACCAATCATATCTTTGTTGGCTTTCTGGTATCTTCTCTCCATAATCATTCATTAATATGACTATTTTTATCTATTTATTGTTTCCTCCTGTACTTTTGCAAATGTTAACAAGCTTGCTCTCCTCTCCCTTTGTTGAAACTGGGTACTATAATTTTTTTCATTTTACGAAATTATACAATTTCATTACGTTAAGATAATACTGGTGTTGCTCTAATTGTTAATTTACAATGGTATTTTATTTCTGACATTATTTTTATTTTTCAACATCGTTTTTATTTTTTCTATCAACCATCTTCCTATTCATCAGCTTTTGTATTACATGTCTTTCTTTTTCTATACTGTAAAACTTTAATTCTTGATTTTTTAAATATAAAATGATATCCTCTGAAATTCGTTTAATTTCTTGCCATTATTATATTTTTAGATTTGTTATTCTTTTACCTGTTGTCATATATATACTTTCCTGTCTTTGTGCCACATAAATCACAAATAAATTTAATGATTATATGTATATATATAAAAAAGCTTTGAAAAATATTTAAACATTTTTTGAAGGCCATATAATTTTATTAACAATAACACATAAAAAGATAGTATACTGCTGTGTTAAAAATTAACACAATATAAATATATTACTAAGAACTATAGCTTAAACATAAAACAACTTAGAAAAAAATTTAGAGAATTGGAATTTTGTAGATTCAGATTCATACCATGGCTCTACAACTAACTAGCTGTGTGTGATAAAGTTAATCGCTCTGTGACTTCCTCACTTTCATTATCTTTAAAATAAATATAGTGAATTTATAAATAAATTATTTAAAATAAATATAGTAAAATAAACATAGTAATTTTTATATTATACTTATAAAGATTTATAATAATATAAACAAATTTAGAGAAATGCCTCGCTCCTAGTAAATTCTAAATCAATAGTAGATATAACAATTATTTTGTTAAAAAGTATTGAAAATGAATTAATTAATCCTGAAGTCTCAACTACCACATATTTATTTTTTTGTTGTCCTATAGTTTCACTTTTTATTATTTTCTCTTCTTAATTTAATTAGATTCTTTCCAAATTTTTTGTATTTCTTAATATTATGACTTCTGTTAAACTTTGCATGTAAAACAAACTCATTATATACATATTCTTATTTCCATGCAGTTAAAAATATGCCCCTATAAAACCATTGGTTTATAAGACAGATGAATACAAAATGGGGGGAAACCACTGGTTAAAAAAATCATCTAATTTTTCCAAGCTTAGTAACATATGAACCAAGAGCAGATGGGGAGAGAATTTTGTATCCCTCCCTTTACTGACTAAATTTGCATCTTCAGTAAAACCTAAGTTTTTTTTTTTTTAGCAAAGTCTTCAACAATACCCCCTACCCTCTACCTCCCAACCCATGCCAGATACTGTATTGTACCTGACAGCTGCTTGTGATAGTGCATGCAACCTTTCCTGGGTAATTAAAGAATACAAGCTTTAACCCTTACCCTATATAGACTCAATAGTATCAGAATAGCTCTGATGAATGGGACCAGATACTAACTTGTTCAAGAAAGGAAGGAGTTCCTTGGTAAAGAAAGGAAAACAGGGCTCTAGAAGGAAGAACTAATAATGCATCAGAGGATGAGTTTGGAGTGAAGGCTTGGATAAAACTTGACACTCACATCATGGGAAAAGTGGAGAATGGGACTGGTCTCAAGTGTAGCATATGGCACAGACAGAAACTTCAAACTAACTTCTCTAGGTCTGTGGGTGTGTATAAGAATAATGGCTGCTGGCCAGGCATGGTGACTCATGCCTGTAATCCCAGCACTTTGGGAGGCCAAGGCAGGTGGATCACTTGAGATCAGGAGTTCGAGACCAGCCTGGCCAACATGGTGAAACCCCATCTCTACTAAAAATACAAAAAATTAGCCAGGCGTGGTGGCAGCCACCTGTAATCCCAGGTAATCAGGAGGCTGAGGCAGGAGAATCACTTGAACCTGGGAGGTTGCGGTGAGCAGAGTTCACGCCATTGCACTCCAGCCTGGACAACAAGAGTGAAACTCCGTTTCAAAAAAAAACAAAAAAAAAGCAAGAAAGAATGGCTGTCTAGATGAAATAAAGAGCAGAAGCATTGGGAACTTGGGCCCTCAGTGATGTGGGATTACTATAGGAGGAGTATGTTACCCTGGCAGAAGAGAATGCCTCCCTTTCTCACATCCCTTTTGCTTCTCTCAGGGAAGGTGTGGAAAAGGTTTTCTCCCATCTCCCAGAGATGTATTTTTTGAAAAATTTCATCCCCTCAGCAGGCTTCAGAGAATAGCTTTTTGCTTTAGCTTTACTGCTGGTAATGATAAAGATGTTTCAGTTCTCTCTCTGAGAGGTGCTTGAAATGAGAGATACTGAGCAGATAATGGTACTGATCCTCCTTCTGGAAATGAATTGGCAATGATCTGGATGTGGCACAAGATACAAGCTGAGGGTATCTCATAAATCAACAGCTAATCTTCAGTTTGATGGTGTAAGCGGAGAGACTCATTAATTAAAAAACAGCCTCTAATGCTGCTTGTAGTTTCTCCATTTTTAAGTCAATGCATATAAATCCCAGTGTCAATAAAGAGGCGGAACTGATCAATCAGAAAAGAAATATAGAAGTAAGAATTGTAATGAGACTATCTACCCTTTGATGGGTGACACTGAGGGAAGAGGAGGGCAATTGCACAGTAGCAAGATGAGGAATCAAGAGTTACAGCAATTGAATTTATTGAGATAAAAAATACTAATATCTAACATATATTACCAGCATTTCATCATCATCCTAAGTCTTTTGTTTTTATGTAATAATTTTTAATCCTCTTTCACCTCTCATTTTAAAGATGAGAACAAGAAGACATAAAGAGTGTCACCAAGGTCTTGGCAAGTTTGCCAAAGTCTCATATCTCCTAATCTGCAAAACTGCAATTTGTGCAAAGAAAATTTGGTTTCTGAACTTGGGTTTTTAACCACTGTTACAGACTGAACTGTGCCCCTTCAAAATCCTATGTTGAAATCCTAACTCCCAGTGCTTCAGAATGTGACTGTATTTGGAGATAGGATATTTAAAATGGTAAAATAAGATCATTAGAGTTGGTCATAATCCAATACGTCTTGTGTTCTTATAAGAAAATGCAATAAGAACATAGACATGCAGAGAGTTAATGTAATAATTGGTATTTATTATTATTATTATTGCTATAATAATTATTAAACAACGAAAAGAGTGAGAAAAGAATTCCGCCATTGAAAATGGACTCTTACTGCACTGATGCAAACAACTATATTGTCATAAAAATACTCACTGATAGTTTCCAATTTCTAGAGGAACCAGGCAGAGAGAAACAAATATGCTCCAAGTCTTGATCACAGGAGTATACCTTACTTAATTATTAAAGGCCATAAATAGTTCAAAGTTTCTTTGACTCTGAAAAACAAAACACGGATCAGCAATATTCCAAGCAAAGGTTAAAAAGATTTGTTCAGTTTCTTTTCTTTTTTTTTTTTTTTTTTTTGAGATGGAGTTTCGCTCTTGTCACCCAGGCTGGAGTGCAATGGCTCAATCTTGCTCACTGTAACCTCTGCTTCCTGGGTACAAGTGATTCTCCTGCCTTAGCCTCCCAAGTAGCTTGGATTACAGGCATGTGCCACCATGCCCGGCTAATTTTTTTTTTTTTAATTTAGTAGAAACAAGGTTTTGCCATGTTGGTCAGGCTGGTCTTGATCTCCTGACCTCAGGTGATCCACCTGCCTTGGCCTCCCAAAGTGCTGGGATTTCAAGTGTGAGCCACCGCTCCCAGCCTGGTTTCAGTTTCCTGAGTTCAGTCCATTTAGTTAACTCTTGTTTTGTTTGATATTTGTGAGCATTTCAGCTCCTTATGAGTCCTGTATATTTTTCTTTATTTTAATGTTACAATTTCCAAAGTTACCAGAAGCCTGTGTTTGAGAGCACCTGTTAAAGTTCTATAGCTCATTATAAACCATCTTTGAGAAGGATTAAACAAGGCAACAACTGTCTGTGAATAGCAAAATGTCCAGGGTACTTACAGTTAGAAACACGATTGACAAAGAAGCTTGGTTATCTCCGTGGTTTACAATAACTTAACATAACGACCTTAATTATGACTGATAGCATATATTCAGCCATTAGAATTCTAGAAATCTCATACAATTTTGGAACATGTATTAGGATTATTCACCCAGATACAACCTAAAGAAGACTGAGCATAATTTTTGCAATCCCATGTACCTAAACATGTCAAATAATCCTGTTTACCTCTCTTCTCTGGACACTTCAGGGGCCCTCTGACATATTTGAAAAGCCAGGTGCCAGGGAAGACAATTTTGAAACTGAGGTTTGATTTTGGGAAGGCTGTTAAATGTTTGAGGTTTAAATAACTTGATATTATGAAATAGAATTCCAGGTTACCAAAAGTTATTTATTTTGCCAAAATCATGACTCAGAAATTTTAAAGAAGCAAAAACCTGTTATAACCCTTTACAAATGTGCCAAAGAGCAGATTAGCACCTTAGGAAAATCTTGTTATGCTTTTATTTCAATTTACAGAAAAACCAAACAATACCCTTTTCTGAATTTAGTCAATATGTTCACATAGAATCTCTTCTGCAAGATTAATTTCCACAGTTCTCCCACCACTTCTTTGAACCTTCAGCTTTTTCCTAATTTAACTCAAACAATCCTTTAACCCTAGGCAAAAGTTTACATTTCCATGCCTTCTTATAACCTTTTATTAAAAAACACATTTTACTGTTCTTACTCACCTTGCATGTAAATATATTTCTAGTAGTTTCAACTCCTAGCAATTTTGAACTTTAAGGTAAAACTTGGAGAGTTGCTTTAATTGTGTGCTAACTGCAACTAAGGTGTGCCTTCTTAGTTAGGGGCGTGGTTAGTTCCATATGCCGTGAGTGAGGCCCTTTAAGAGACAGGGGACATGCAGATATTGAATTAGAGAGGGCTCATCCCCTAAGGCAGGATTGCTAAACAAATCCTTGCCGCCAGAGTTATAAGCCATGGCCTCAGGATGTAAAACAAAATAGAGGATTTATTTCACAAGCAAAACTTTGCAGAGCATACAGTGATAGCTGGGGAGCAGAGGGAGTGGCCTAGTAAAGTGTCTTCTAAAAAAAAACAAACAAACAAACAAAAAAAAAACTTTAAGGGTTTACTTGTTGAGGAGGTGGAAAAGGGGAGTGAAAAAAGGTTTAAAAATGCCTGGGGAAGAACTTCTTATTCGTCTGCAAGTGATTTCAACAGCAGGGTTAAAGCTTAATTACTCTCTGATAAAGTTTAACCCCCTGGCAGGGGAAAAGGAAGGCTGCGGTGGCTTGTGTCTGAGAACCATCTAGCCAGCTGTGTGGGACCCTTGGGCCATGCATCCCGTCCCGGGCACAGAGGGGAGGGGGAGTGAGGAGCCCCGGCTTTCCTGTCTGTCCTGAAAAAGGAAGGAAAAGGCCTTTCCCCCGACGACCCCCAACGGAGCAACGGAGTTTGGGGTCGTGTTTCCCCCACCCTCAGTAGTCTGAGGATGAAAATGCTTAGGATCAACAGTGAGAGGTTTTGAGTCCCCATTTCACTCACTGTTTCTTGAGCTCCCCTGTTGCGCGCCAAAAAGCAGGACTTTCCCTTAGTTCAGCTAAAGACTGGGTCCTTGTCCATTCCACGACCACGACAATTTAGGCTCATAGATGGTTTGAAGGGTGAGTAAAGCAGGGTTTTGTTGGGTGAAAAGGAAGGAAAAGGGGAAACAGGGACCCTCAGCAAGGCCAGAGGCCCCTGCTAGCGTGCTTCCTACCCAGCCGTTTGAATTCCAGGTTCCACACAGGAAGAGGAGGAGTCGGACTCCTGGCTGCTGCAAAGGGCACCAACTTCTGTATTTTCACTCCAGTGCGCATTCCCAGTGCGCAGGCTGGTTGGAGATTCTCCAGGGACCCCCTCCCACCTGGCTGTCTCACTTTCCGTTCTTGACATCAGACATATTGAAATTCTCTGGGGACCTATGTGAAAAGTGAAGTTAATTGCAATGAGAGAACTGGAGTTTGGGAGCTAATCTGATTGGAGGCTGGCCACTGCAGGTGATCACATCCAGGCAATTGCTGTTTAATTAAGGCAATGCGATTAATCACAGATGTCACTCACTGGTAGCAACAGATGACACTGTACAACATTCCACCTATGAAATAAACATAAAGTAACGTTTGGAAAGACAGAAACTGAGTTAGGTCTGAGATTCTCCTTTAATGTTTTAATCTGTCGGGTTTTATTTGAATTCTAAGGATACGTGAAGCTTTATTCTTCTTACCTTCTTGAATATGCCCTCAAAACTATGTCATTAATTTTGAGTTCTTGTTTTAGTTTTTAAATGGAAACTTTCACAAATAAACATTGCAACTTTTTTGCCTTTTTTAGGTATAATATAAATTTAATAAACTACTCAGATTTAAGCTTGATGAATTTTGGCAATTGTACACACCCATTTAACTACCACTCTAAACGAGATATAGAATTGTGCTGTCCAGTATAGTTCCCACTAGTCACATGTGGCTATTTAATCTTAACATTTATTTAATTAAAGTTAAATACAATTTAAAATTTACTTTCTTAATCACACAAGCCATATTTCAAGTTCTTAACAGCTCCTTGTTGGTGGTAATAGCCGCTGACATATAGCTATTGGACATACTGGATAGCACATATTTAGAACTATGTAGAAAGTGATAGAAATGTCTTTGTAAAAATTAATAGCCAGCAACATTAGAAAGTGGCTTCTTTTACTCATAATAATTTTTAAATCTATCCATAATATTGCATGCATTCCTATTTTTTTTTCCTTTTTGCTACTGTGTAGCTTTCCATTTCATTGTTATGCCATAATTTGTTTAGCAGTTCTTGACTTGGGATAAAAAGCTGAGTTAAAAATAAAAAAATAAGAATAAAAGTAAATTTTTAAAAATTTTGCTGTTCATGGAAGTTTGGAGTACTCTACTTTTAGCTATTAGGAATTAGGCTATCATGATACTTTGTAAAATTCATTTTGTGAACATATGTTTGTTTTATTTCTCTTGAGAAAACACCTAGGGGTGGGATTGCTTAACCACGGAATAAGTGTAAATTTATATTTATAAGAAACTCTCACAGGAAAAGAAATGTGTAAGAATATTATTCAGCAGTAAAATACTATTTCACATCCAAAAGAATGTTGGGGGGTACTGACAATACAAAATGTTGGTGAAGATGTAAAACAGATATGAATCTCATACGTTGCTGGTGGGAGGGTAAAATGTTGTAGGTTCTTTGGACAACAATATCTTATTGTGGTTTTAATCTGCATTTTCCCATTGACTGAAGCTGTTAGACAGCTTTTCATGTGTTAATTGGGCATTCTTAGATCTTCTTTTGTGACATGTTCATTTATTTCTTTTGCACTTAAAACAATTAGTTATCTGACATTTAATAGACAATTTTTAGGAGTCCTTTTATGTATTTTAAGTATGCTTATTTTGTCTGATATGTTATTGCATATTCTTTTTCAAGATTTATATCTTAACCTATGTAAATTATAAGGCTAAATGTCTAGTTAGTTATAGGAAGGTGTGGAGCACCAGATTAGAATTTTTTTTAAGTAAACCGCAATGTATCAGAGAGTATGCTCTAAGTGCAATGAGTCCAAAAAATATCAAAGCCAAGAGAAGTAAATAGGGGGTCCTCTATCCAAGAAACTTTAAAAGCTATAGAAAAGAACACAAAGGAAAGAAAAAAACTCCAAAGCCTGTAATTATTTAAAGATTTAATTTCTTATAACTGTCTTTTTAACGTTTCTAAACTTGTATGGCAAACAATAGCATATATTTAGACAATGGAAAACATAAAATTCAATAATTGCTTTTTTTTATAAAATAAAATTGACCATTTACTATTTGGCATATTCAAATTATATAAATTATATAATAGATGCCATATTCAAGATGGCTGGCAATTTTAGCACAGAAAATAGAACAAAGACAACCAAATCTATGCTCTTATAATAATAATGATTTTTAAAAAGCCTCATATCTTTGGTTTCACTTATTTGTGTATAGAACTTCTAATTAGTAAAATTGCCAATATATTTTTATGAATCCTTTGGTTTTACCTTCTGGGTATCTAGAAAACATAGATTTCAAATGTATAAATGATATTTAAAATTCAATTCCAAATTTTTAAAATATTCAAAATATGATATTCAGAAGGTAATAGTATGTGCTTGCAAAATCTATTCATTTTCTCTTAACATTTTGGAGGCAAAATCTTTTACTTCTTCTATACAAAAAAACCCATAATTTTTAGTTTGGGCTGGGAGTCCCAATCTTTAACTTGGCTACATGTGGTCAAATTGCATGGCTCCCCAAACAGAAATGATTGTTATCCACCCCCACACAAAAACCCCACACATCCCAACAAACACACAACATGACATCAGAAAAATCTTTGGATTTTATCTAATATACATATTCAACATAATATACAATTCACCTGAAGCTGTTTATAAATATCTATTTGTCCCATATTCAAGTAAGAACACAGATGATTCAAGTATGCAGGTATAACAGTCAAATGTGTTCTCTCCAGTGTTATTTGCTGTTAAGTTTAAATGATATGCAAGGAAGAAGTCAGAGCTAACAATAAATCTTTACTTTCTACTCCTTTCTTATTCATCATGCACACAGACACATCTATAGACAACATAAAATCTGCACAGACACATCCACACAGTTACAAGCATTTATATAGACACACACACACATGCAAACACACACACTAATATAGCCATATATTCCTCAAGTAATATGATTTTTCTTAACTTTCCACATGCCCCCTAGTTGTTCTAGTCTACTAGGCAGTCATTATAAGAAATAATTATTCTATAGTTTGAACATGTAAGTATAGATATTCTTAGGCTAACAGATTACCATATTGCCTGATTTAAAAAAACAAAAACAAAACTCAGTCTCAAAAGTGAACAATGTCAGATGCCACTCTTGGTTTTGAATATTACTTTATCCTAGTTAGGGCCACGGATGCACATTTTTATTTCAACTTTAAGCTATGAAATGTAAAGTTGTTTACAAAAATATATGGGAGTTCTACTGTTTGAGTTATAAAGTAGACCTTGATCTGAAGAATAGAAAGAGATTTCTAACTGTGCTCTCCAGAAACTGAAAAGCCTGGTTGTATTAAGAGTGAGTGTTCTTTCTCTGGAAGTACTGAAGCAGAAACTGCACAGTCACTACTCCTAAACCTTTCTGAAGGCATCAATCCATGAGGCAGCCAGTTAAATGAGATGCCCTCTGAGGTTACTTCCAAACTGTAGTTTCTGTAATTCTACCAATTTCTCCTGATTTTAACATCTCAACAGTTTATCAGAGCGAAGTGTCTTCTAACATGATTGCTTTGCCTAATTATTTTTAGAACAGATGAAATTATATATACATAAACATTTTTTAAAAAGACATTAATAATTAGTTACTGTCTCTAATTATTTACATATGACTTTTCTAACTGAGACTAAAACTTTTTTTAGAATTGTGTACGTACGTTAAGAATATAGTTTTCAAGTTAAAGTAAGACAACTGACCAAATTATTTGAGAGCAAGTAGATATTCAAAGAAAGTTTAGATCTTTACAATTTCTTTTCAGATGGAAGAAATGTATTAACTCCTCCATTCTGTTCAGAGTAAGCAAAAGTTGTTATACCTTCAACATGTTCTGTTAATGAATTAATTGGGAAATACCTTTTAGTTTTTGAAATTCCAGGATTTGTGAGGTTCAAGTATAGAAGTTTTTGAGGAAGGCGAAATGAAAAGGAGCCCTGACTGCCTGAGGTGGAGATGAAAAAGTACGTTAAAAACATTCGAAAGAAACATAAAGGCAGAGACAAGCATAATTGGATTTTGTAATAGGATTGCTGAGATAGGTTCACGTTCAAAATCATATGAAGCATTCTGTTTTCTTGGTTACTGGTTAGCAAGAGATATTTTATAGGGAACTCATCTGCAACCATGGACACCTTTTTAATTAATAAAGAATATTCATGTTTTAGAATATCAAAGCAAGAAAAATTGCACAGACAAGTCATTGTTTTCTATGTAAAGATAAAAAACTGTTTCATGCATAAATTCAAGAAAATTGAGAGTATCCTATTCTATCTGCATAATGTGGCATTGAGCAAGGCTTGGAGTTTTTAATTGTTTTTCCATTGTTATTTTGAAAAGCATTTAGAAAAAAATACCAGTCTGATTTTCTTTCCACAGGACTCAAATGACAATCTTGCTCAACCTGTCTTAATGCTTTACAGATTATTTTTGTACATTCTCATTGTATTCTTGGAGTACATTACTTATCAATTGTGTTCATGACACTTCCTACAGATATTTTATCTCTTCATGAAGATAGTAAACTAGAAAAATTATGTCATTCATTCTTTTTCTTATTTATTCCTCCAAAAATTCTTAAAATATTGCTTTATTGTCATTCTAAATATCTGCTTTATTAACCTACCCATAATGTCATATTTTGCTCTTTCAAAAGTAATACTAAGTTAACCACACAAAGTCGACCTCTAAGCATGTATATAACTATCTATATACACCATACTAGATTCGTTCATGGTTGGTAAGTAGTATGATTTTGCCATTATAGCCTAACTCATCCTTCTTTACAGTGAAAACATCTCGAAGTCAAGAACCACTAGTTTTCATTTCTTCACAGAGATTACCATGGTGTGCTTAAGTATTATTTGCTGAATTTAATCAGAGTAACACTAGAATTAGTTAATGGCTGTGAAAACTATGAAATAGACTATAATTCTTTACATGGCAAAAGTATATGGTTCATAAACCTTTCACTTCTGTTTTTCTATTTCTCTATTTTGGTAAGTGCCAGCCATAGGTCCTTAAGCATACCTCAGTTAACAATGGAGGATATTGGTAAGTTATGAAGGCATACATTCCCCAGAGTTTAGCTTTAAAGGTATCCATACATTTAATGGTCATTCTTGATTATTTGTGTGTGCTCATCAGGAATTATCATGGCTAGATGCTATTCAGTAAATTCCCATGGTTTTTAACTACTTACTTCTGGAATCTAAGGACTTTGAAACTTCTCTTTATTTTGTGGCTTTCACTGAACTATGTACTATAAAAGCTACACTAATTAAAACATAATGAATTTGTATACTCTACTTAATTTAGCAAATTGAGTATAAAATGAATATACAATGTATGTATACATTAGATGTAGAAGTATACATACATATTGTAGTATGTATACTACAATAGAAGAGTGTCCACTATTTACATTTTAATATACAATATTTTCTAACACAATTTAGGTGTGTATATGTGTGTATTTGTGTGTGTGGTGTGTGTGTATTTTAAAACACTACTAAACTCTCTCCAAAAGACCTTAGTGATTTAAACTTCAAGCACTGACATTTCAATGTTCATTTTTATTTTGTATTATTAATATCAAACCAACCAAAACTATGCATTTGCCTTTGTGTAAATAGATGATGGTATCACTGAAATTTTAGTAAGTAATTTCTTGTGTTCATATTAATGCTAGTCTGCTTTGCATTCCAAATCTCCTTGATCCTCATCTAACCCAGCACACATACAAACATGGGCTTGTGAATGTTCACATTCACATAGGAGTCCAAAATAGGCAGATTTCTTCATATTCATATAAACAGAAGATGCTAAGAATTCTTATTATGTGTTGCTTTATTTATTCTTATCATTTGAAAGATGATGTTGTTATAGAAAATTGTCTAAGTAGAATTTTTATTTTGCAATTTCCTTGTGCCCACAAGTAAAATACCAATATCTCTATATATTCAATATTGGATTTATGAAAAAGAAGAAATAATTAAAGAAAAGGAAGATACTAAAAAATTTAGTAATTTCCCCAAACTGAAAAATCTATATTTCTGTGCAACAGGCTCTTTCAATAACAGATATGTGAAAATATAATCCTATTCACTCTGTCAATGAGATATTAAGAACTAGAAATGCCTGAATTACTTTAAGAATTGGAAATTCAGATTTTATCTATCTCAATTTAATATTCACATAAAAATGCAAATTTCAACTGTATTTTAAGATAAGTATTGGTAAATATTTTTGAGTGTTCTCAAACATTCATTTGTGAAGGTTTTGTTTTTATGTAGTGATAATGTCTCATTATTTACTTCATTGGGTAATTAGAGGATGTATATATGGTTGCATAATATATTTCAAGTGTATTTCAGAGCTGACACGTATTTGTTGAATCATGTATGGTAGATACACAGTGTAAGCTAACCACGTTAATAAACTATACTATTATTCAGGATTCTAATCTGTGGAGAGCAGTCACAGGGTTCTGCAATGTAACCTTTTCAAGCATTCTAGAATAATTAAATCATGAAGGAAGGGAGTAGCCCAATTAATTGAGAGCTATGGCTGTATGTCTCCTACCCCTCAACATAGAAAAACAAACCCAACAACTGGGACTGTTTCATGGGTATGTCATTGAGGTTAGTAAACGAAATAGTGGAAATTAGGGAATTTGCAATTTCCTAATGACATATAATATAGAAAACTTTTTCATAAGCTTGCTTGTGCCTCTGTATGTTTTCTTTGGTGAGGTGTCTTTTTAGATTTTTGGCTCGCTTTTTGAATTGGGTTTTATTTTTTATTGTTGGGTCTTAAGAGTTTTTTATATATTATGGTATGTGTTTTTACAAATATTTTGATTTTTGCAAAACACATGGCTTGTCTTTACATTTTCCTAAAAATGTCTTTTCAGAGCAGAAGTTTTTAATTTTAATGAAGTTCAATTTATCAAAACAGACCTGCCTCATTTAATTGGGCTTTGCTTTATTGCCCTTGACATATCAGCTTTTTAGAAATTGAAAGTTTGTGACAACCCTGCATTGAGCAAGTCTATCAATGCTATTTTTCCAACAGCATGTGCTCGCTTGTGTCTCTGTGTGACATTTTGGCAATTTTCCCAATATAGCAAACATTTTCATTGTTACTATATGTGTTATAGTGATGTGTGATCAGTGCTTATCAATGTTGCTATTGTAATTCTTCTGGGGTACTATGAACTGCACTTATATAAAACAGCAAACAAATAATAAATGTTCTGTACATTCAGACTGCTTTACTGACTGGCTGTCTCAGCCCCTGCCTGGACCTCCCTATTAACCAAGACACAATAATATTAAAATTCCATCAATTAATAACCCTACAGTGGTTTCTAAATGTTCAAGTTAAAGGGAGAGTCACACGTCTCTCACTTTAAATCAGAATCTAGAAGTGATTAAGTTTAGTGAGAAAAACATGTGAAAAGCTGAGATAGGTTGAAAGATGGGCCTTGCGTGCCAAACAGCCAACTTATGAATGCAAAAGAAAAGTCCTTGAAGGAAATTAAAAGTGCTACTTCAGTAACACAGGAATGATAAGAAAGAGAAAGAGCTTTATTGCTGATATGGAGAAAATTTTAGTAGTCTGAATAGAAGATCAAACCAATCACAACATTCCCTTATTAGGCCAAAGCCCAACCCAGAGCAAGGCCCTAACTCTCCCCAATTTTGTGAAGGCTGATAATGGTGAGGAAGCTGCAGAAGAAAAGT
Source organism: Homo sapiens (assembly GCF_000001405.40). Classification (NCBI taxonomy): domain Eukaryota; kingdom Metazoa; phylum Chordata; class Mammalia; order Primates; family Hominidae; genus Homo; species Homo sapiens. The sequence continues at coordinate 63,275 of NW_013171806.1, read as the reverse complement.
TTGAAGCTAGCAGAGATTGGTTTGTAAGTTTCAAGGAAAGAAGTCACTACATAACATAAAAGTGCAATGTAAAGGAGCAAGTACTGATGTAGAAGTTGTAGGAAGTTATCCAGAAGACCTGGCTAGATAACATAAACAACTAAACAACAGATTTTCATTATAGATGAAATAGCCTTCTATTGGAAGAAGATGCCATCTAGAACATTCATAGCTAGAGAGGAGAAGTCAATGCATTTTTTCAAAGCTTCAACAGATAGGCTGACTCTCTTGTTAAGGGCTAGTAAAGCTGGGGACTTAAGTTGAAGCCAATGCTAATTTTCCATTCTGGAAATCCTAGGGCTGTCGAGAATTATGTCAAGTCTACTCTGCCTGTGCTCTATAAATGGAAAAACAAATCCTAGGTCACAACACATCTGTTGACAGCATGGTTTACTAAAGATTTTAAGCCCACTATTGAGAGTTACTATTAAAAAAATCCTTTCAAAATATTACTGCTCATTGACAATTCACCTGGTCATGCAAGAAGCCTAATGGAGATAAAAAGGAAGATTAATGTTGTTGTTTTGTTGTTTTTATGCTCCTCATATAACATCTATTCTGCAACCCATGGATCAAGGAGTCATTTAGACTTTCAAGTATTTGTATTTAATAAATACCTTTTGTAAGACTTGTGAACCCATAATATCTGAGACAGGTCTCAATCAATTTAGAAAGCTTACTTTGCCAAGGTTAAGGATGCACCTGTGACACAGCCTTAGGGGGTCCTGATGACATGTGCCCATGGGTACAGCTTTCTTTTCTGCATTTAAGAAAGACATAATACATCAATCAATACATGTAAGATCTACAGTGGTTGGACCTAGAAGGGCTAAGGGGTGAGGTTCCTGGGTCATAGGTAAATTTTAAAATTTTCTGATTGGCAATTGGTTGAAAGAGTTATTATCCGTAAAAAGGAATGTCTGGGTTAAGATAAGGGGTTGGGGCTGGGCATGGTGGCTCAAGCCTGTAATCCCAGCACTTTGGGAGGCCGAGGTGGGCAGATTGCCTGAGGTCAGGAGTTCGAGACGAGCCTGGCCAACATGGTAAAACCTCATCTCTACTAAAAATACAAAAATTAGCCAGATGTGGTGGCAGGCACCTGTAATCCCAGCTGCTCAGGGGATGGAGGCAGGAGAATCGCTTGAACCCGGGAGGTGGAGGTTGCAGTGAGCTGAGATCATGCCACTGCACTCCAGCTTGGGCAGCAGAGCAAGACTCCGTCAAAAAAAAAAACTGATAAGAGGTTAGGGAGACCAAGGTTTTGTCATGCAGATGAAGCCTCCAGGTAGCAGGCTTCAGAGAGAGTATATTGTAAATGTTTCTTATTAGACATAAGTTCTTCGTTGACATTAACACTTGAGGAGTATAATGAGGTATGTCCAACCTCCTATTCCATCATGGCCTGAACTAGATTTTCAGACAAATTCCAGAATACCCTTAGCCAAGAGGAGGGATCCATTGAGGTGGTTGGGGGGCGCTTAGAATTTCATTTTTGGTTTGTAGACTATAGCTGCTATAGATAGTGATTCCTCTGATGGATTTGGGCAAAATAAATTGAAAACCTTTTGAAAGGGATTCACCACTCTAGACACCATTAAGAACACTTGCGATTCATGGGAGAAGGTCAAAATATTAACATCGACAGCAGTTTAGAAGAAGTTGATTTAAACCCTCATGGGTAACTTTGAGGAGTTCAAGACTTCAGTGAAGAAAGTAACTGCAGAATTGTAGATGGAGCCTGAAGATGTGACTGAATTGCTACAATCTCATGATGAAAGTTGAATGGGTGAGCAGTTGCTTCTTATGGATTGGCAAAGAAAGTTGTTTCTGAAATGGGATCTATTCCTGGTTAAGATACTGTGAACATTGCTGAAATGACAACAAAGAATTTAGAATATTTTCTAAGCTTAGTTGATAAAGCAGTGGTAGGGCTTGAAAAGATTGACTCCAGTATAGCAAGTTCTATTATTGAAACTGCCATTGCAAAATCATAACTGCGAAAGTTATTTACAGTGAAAGGGATCTGACCTAATTGACTTCATCTTGCTTCTAACCACTGAGCTATCCTTGTTCATTGGTGGGTGTAGGCCAAACTAACTTTGAGAGGAACTTAGTTTATAGTTTAGCTTTGAAACAAAGTTGGTAACAGCCCTGTTCCAAAACAAACCCACTTCCTGCCTCGGGACTGGACTGGCTTTGCAGGACTATCAAATTAGCCACAAGAGTAGAAATATGGTTTAGGAATTATGCAGCTGGAGGCTACAAGATTCTGACCCTCTGAAATTGCTCCTGCAGACAACATCTCTATTGTAAAACCTAAGAACTTAAGATATTTGCAGACCCTGCACTTGATGGATCAGCTGGCACTACTCAGATCGATAAACTTGTTCATCTGGATTTTTGGCCCCCATAGAGAAACTGACTCAGCGCAAGAGGACAGTTTTGACTCCCTGTGATTTCTTCTCCAACCCAACCAATCAGCACTTCAGATTCACTGGCCTCCTACCCACGAAATTATCTTTAAAAACTCTAATTCCCGAATTTTCAGGGAGACTGATTTGAGTAATAATAAAACTCCAGTTTTCCTTACAGCTGGCTCTGCATGAATTATTTTCTTTTTGTTGTTGCAACTCTCCTGTTTTGATAAATTGACTCTGTCTAGGCAGCAGGCAAGGTGAACCTGTTGGGCAGCTACACTATGGGTAAAACGCTACCAAACAGCATTGCATGCTACAGATAAATCTTTTGTTAAAGGAAGAGTCAAATGATATGCCAAACTCCACTGCTGGCTTATGTTAAGAAATTTTCACAACCACCCAGCCTTCAGCAACCTCTACCCTGATCAGTCAGCAGCTGTCAACATGGAGGCAAGATCCTCCACCAGTAAAAAGATTACAATTTGCTGAAAGCTCAGGTGATTATTAGCAATTATTTTTGGCAATAAATTATTTTCTAATGAAGCTTTGTACTTTTTAAAACATAAGGCTGTTACATACTTAATAGATTACAGCGTAGTGTTAACATAACTTTAATATGCACTGGGAAAGAACCAAAAAGCTTGCATGGCTCACTTCATTGTAATGTTTACTTTATTGTGGCAGTTTGGAACCAAACCTGCACTATCTTTGAGTTATGCCTTTTTTTTTTAATTTCATGACGGTTTGGTCTTATGTTTAAGACTCTACACCCAACACAGATTTTCTCCTATGCTATCTTCTAGATTTTTATGGTTTTTCATTTTACATTTAAGTCTATAAGTTATCTTGTTAATTTTTGTAAAAACTATCAAGATTCCTTTTTTAAAAAATTTTATTGGATGTGTATTTGTTTCAGTTCCATTTGTTGGGAAGTCAATGCTTTCTCTATTAAATGACCTTGCTCTGGTAAAAATAAAGTCAATTAGGGTGTGACAAAAGAGCTTCCCTTGAGGACACGCTTTTGTTAAGGAGGACAGAAAGCTCTGAGTGCATTTCAAAATGGCTACTTTTCCCTTCCTTCTGCTGGAAACAGGAAGGGATACTTTTTTCTCATCTTCTCCATAAGAATCTATTTAGGCTCCTGAAGGTTAAGATTCATGAAAGTACTGTGATACACAGTAGAAATTTTCCTTGACATACAATAGGGTTACATTCTGATAAACCCATCATAAATCTTGTAAATTGAAAATGCATTTAATACACCAGACCTACAGAACTTAGCCTTGTTCACCTTAAGTGTACTCAGAACACTCACACTAGCCTATAGTTAGGTAAAATCACCTAATACAAAGCCTATTTTATATATATATACATATATATGTATATATAAAGAGCAAATATATGTATATATTTATATATATATAAGAAAAAAGTGTCAAATATCTTATGTACCACATAGTCCTAGGCCAGGCAAAGATCAGAATTCAAAATTCGAAGTATGTCAAATTGTGATGGTTTGCAAAGTTGTGAAGTTGTCAAATCATTAAGTTGATTGCCCTTCTCTCCGGTTTTTATGGTGGCAGCTTGCCCTGTGACAGCAATTATTAGATAGATTTAAGAAGAGTTGTTCCTTTTCAAATTGTTCGATTATTTTCTTGTTGTAAGAATGAGAGTGACAACTTCCAAGTCCCAAAACAAGAAATTCATCTTACTTTTTACCATAGTCTTGACAGTAACTTCTGGGCAACCTTATGTAAATCAGTGATATTGACTTCTAGATTTTGTATGTATAAATAAAAATTGGACAAGATCGATATTTTCAAAATAAGCTTTATGATATTTTAGCAGACTTTAAAACAGCACACTAGTTGATGGTAAAATAAAATGATCACATATTTGTTAAAGTTCTTCAGAGGCAACTGATAAATAGCAGCCCTTTTTCCCATAAGACTTCATTTGAAAAATAGAATGGAGTAACATATGGAAGCTAAATTATAACTCATAGAATGCTCAGGCTGCAGAATGTTATTTCACATACACTGAGCATGTCTGCTCACTCAAACACAATCCCTAAATTGGGCAAACTATTCAATCACTGAAACCAAGCCACTCAGGTCTGGGGCAGCAATTTTCTAAGTAATAAAGTACCTGGCAGAACAGTGGCAGGTCCCTTTGCCTGAGGAGTAGTTTACTTCAAGAGGAAGAAAGGAAGAGGAGTGCTAGGCATACTAAGTTCTTGCTCCCATACTCACTAACCAAGTGTCACTTCACTACCCTTCACTACCCTTTGGGACAAAGTGAGTAATGGTATAGTTAGAGGCCAGAAATAAGCTTAAGAAAATCCTGTCTATATAGAAAACAGTGGAGAGGCGGGAAATAACAGAGTTTAATAACTTTTAACATTGTCGAGCTTTTATTAGGCCAATGCTCAGAGATTTCCTGATAGGGTTAGAGTTTGACTTGCCAACTCAGATTTTCTTAAAACCTAAATAGATATCTCAAACTTATAGTCTGCAACCAGACTTTGCTTTATTATTTCCAGTAGAGTATGGTTTTTCCTTTGTAAATTCCTGTCCACATTTTTAGTAAGAGATTTCACCTGAAAGTTTAGATATTCAGCTCCTCATAAATCTTTAGATGACAACACTGGGCCTTATTTTCAAATGGCAATAATTGCCTGCAACTGAGTAGCAGCTGTTCTCACTAGACAATGTGAATACTCTTCATTTTGCCAGTTTTCACCAATTACTCACTGTGTTCATAATGCTCTTACCCAGAATCTGCTTCATTCATTTATATATCTGTCCTTATTAGGCATTTGGGTTTGTGATCGCTGCTCTAAAGAGAACCAAGCTTAGCCACATTTTAGCAACCCATCTCATCCATAGCCAGTGAAACTTTTTTGGAGTTATAAGCCCAGAAGACTCTGAACTGGGAAATTCAGTATCAAGGAGTCCACTCAGGTGAGTATCAGCTTGCGGCATCATTATACTGTGGAAGGCAAGAGATTGAGAGAGGGTAAAAGAGATCAAGAGATGGCTGAACTTGCTTCTGTAAAAAACCCACTCTCAGGACAATGACATTAATCCATTAATGAGAGCAAAGCCCTCATGACCTAGTCACTTCTTAAACATTCCACTTCTCAACACTGTTGCATGGGGAACTAAGTTTCTAACACATGAACTTTGGGGGACACATTCAAATCTTAGTACTATCCTATATGCCTGGTCCATTTCTTTTATAACCTGCCCCTTTTCCTGCTTTTCATTCTGACCTTGGACCCCAAAACCATTTATGTCTACATATCATGTCCTTGGGAACTTGAATCCCATATATATATATGTAAAATCTCTGAATCAGCTTATTAGGATCCTTAGAACCAAGATGTCTAGAGTTGAAGGCTGCTATGCCTTCATTTTCCAAATAGACCTATGAATATCTCTCCCTCCTTCTGCCTACACCTGAAGTGAGATTGAGCCACACTTACTTATATTGTTATGTATCTTCTAGTCCTAAGGCAAGGGTAGAAACGCAGGATTGTGAATCAAAAAAGCTGATCATTCTGCCAAACATGAAGGGCCAGAGCAGATGAGAAGCTAGAGAAATAAGGTCTAAGTGAGAGTAAGAAGTTTCTGGCAATTACTTATGATCAGAAATTTTAATAAGCATAAAATTATTCTGGCAGAGGGGAAGTCATATGTTTAAATAGAAGACTTTTCGTTATGGCTAATCCCAGAAAAGAGGACAGGAGCAGACTTATCCATGAACAATATGAGGTTATCTTAAAATTAAATATTTAATCTTTTCTACACTGGAACAGCTCCATTCTTTTTTTCTTTTTATGAAGATAGTGATCACTTCATTTGTACAGTTCCTTCCAATAATGCTCACTTTTACCTGAACACTTAATAAAACTTGCTTTTGGTTACTGAATTTCCTTTTGCGCATTGATAAGATGACTTCTGTATGAGTTTTCCCCAAAGCCCCCCACCCCGCCTTTTTTAAAGAAGGTGTGAGTCATAAGGGGCATTACTGAAAGTATTGACTCACTAATCTTTAAGATGTCTCTAGGCTCTGCCTTCTCCTGACCATAACATTCTCAACACACAGAAGAAGACTTTTTTTTTTTCTTTTTGAGATGGAGTCTCACTCTGTCGCCCAGGCTGAAGTGCAGTGGCACTATATTGGCTCACTACTCGCTCCACCTCCTGGGTTTACGCCATTCTCCTGCCTCAGACTCCCGAGTAGCTGGGACTACAGGCACCCGCCACCACGCCCGGGTAATTTTTTTTTTTTTGTATTTTTAGTAGACACTGGGTTTCACCGTGTTAGCCAGGATGGTTTTGATCTCCTGACCTCGTGATCCGCCCGCCTCAGTCTCCCAAGTGCTGGATTACAGGAATGAGCCACCGTGCCTGGCCAGAAAAGACTCTTAATGCTGTAACATAAAGCTGTTTTCTTACCTACAAAGGACAAAGAAGCAAACGTTGAAAAGAGGTAAAGGTAGCATTCTCTAGACCTATAAGACAGTTGAACCCCTACAGTAGTATTTTTTCCCAAGTAATGCTACTGAGTGAGGGTTGAGGGAAATACCAGTGACAACTGGCAGGGTGGGGGCTGGGGAGATGGATTCATCTCACTAAAAACACTGCCCAGAGAGCTAGGAAGTCCTGAAGAGAAGGCTCCTGACATTTTTGGGGGGTGCAGAGGCTGGGGGGAAGAAGCTGGGAAAAGGATAGGAGTGCTGCGTAGGCCAGGGATGCAGCTATTCATAGGATCTGAGTTCTTGACTCCACCTCCCTCTAGAGGCTGCAGTGCATTGACTGTGCACCAAGTCTGGTGTGGGGAGGGCAGATTTCCTGCGGTGCTTGTTGTGTTAACTCTTTCAAGGCAAAGTATATTCTTTTCCATCTCTGTGCCTTTGCTCATGCTGGTCTTTCTCAGAACCTCCTCCATCTTTTTCTTCTGAATCCTTCGTTTTCCTTCTTACGTATTTTCCAAACTTATATTTATGTCATCACTATTGACGTCTTTTGTGGGACATTTGCTTAAAACCTAACCTAGGCCAAGGAAAGAGAGTCTTCCGTTCTAGGTCCCGTATTTTAGAGAGGCCTGTTCTCCTTTCCCCCAGCCCCAGGCATGTTCAGTGTACCCAGAAATCCGGAGTTACCTGCCCAAAGGTCTTGATCGAATGGTGTGCACACCCCTGGGCTGGGCAGGTAGATAAGTAGTAGCTTTTCGCTGCGGTGATGGATGGAAGTTGAACTGGGCAAGCTGGGATGCACCTAGATCCTTTCTTTGTAAGTCTGAGCCTGGGGTAGTAAAAGAAAAGAGGCTTTTGGAAAGGGAAGCTTAGGTCCTTTTATGTTTCTACCACTAAGTTCCCACAAGGAACTTACTGGAGCTCAAGTAATTGACATTTATACTGGCTTTCCATATGTTATAAAGATCCATGTTTTTTGACAATAGGGATCTAATACATGTTTAGCATAAAATTTGGTTAGTTTGATTTAGAACTTTTAAATATTTAGACAAATGGTGTTCAGGGCTCTATTTGCATTCTTGCATGAACCTTGCAAATGCTAAGAGTGGGCTTGTGTTTTTTAACATTTTTTCAATAGATATTTTATATGCTATCTCTAAATTTAACTATTTTCTTCTTTTCTGTGGTTTGAATATTTCATATATACTTTTATCACATTTCCGTTTGGCATATTAATTATTCATCTTCATGGGTCTTTCCTCTATCTGGCTAATAGTTAAAGGAGAGAAAGCATTCTTTTCATTGCTATTCCCTTCTCTACCTACAATGATTATAGCACATAAAGATTACACACAACATAAAATTTAAACTCAGAGAATTTCTTCAGTTTTTACCTTCCTGAATCTCTTTAACAGTTTTCTCAGTTTCCAGTGCTCTTAGCTTCACATATTACTTTGCCTGTATTTTACTCTCATTAGAGTCTTAAGTTGATTCTTGAGTGTCCACTTTGTTACTGATGTAAAAACATAGTAATATGTTCATTTTTCTTTCTTCCTGAGATAGAGTCTCACTCTGTCACTCAGGCTGGAGTGCAGTGGTGCCATCTTGGCTTACTGCAAGCTCTGCCTCCTGGGTCTAAGCGATTATCCTGCCTCAGCCTCCCAAGTAGCTGGGATTACAGGTGCATGCCACCATGCCCAGCAAATTTTTTTGTATTTTTAGTAGAAACAGGGTTTCATCATGTTGGCCAAGCTGGTCTCGAACTCATGACCTCAAGTGATCTGCCCGCCTGGGCCTCCCAAAGTGCTGGGATTATAGGCGTGAGCTACCACACCAAGTCATTATGTTGATTTTTGATATTATTCCTAAGCTGTACATTTCACATCTGGAAGAAATCCCTGTTAGGTTAACACTTTCAAGACGGAGAGTCTCAAATCCTCAGCCAGCATAATTCAGTAGTGGGAGATTGTACAAGGTATACAAGGAGAATAATCACAATGATTATTGTAATAATATAGCAAGAAGTCTTAACATTATGTGCCACAAATTGAATGGTATAATTTGTAACAATTATGTGACTTACTGTCCACAGTTACTCTGCAAGGTAGAAATCGTTATTTACCTATTGAAGTTAAGGAATTAAATGTGTAAAGATTAAACTAATTTGCCTGAGTTCATATAGTTTATGAATAACATATGTAGGATCCATACCCAGATATATATTCCTCAAGCCCTCACCCTTTCTTCTCTATTTCTTTTGCTTAAAGTTATACTTTTAGGTCACTGACTAACAAAATGCTTAATACATAATTCTAGTCAATAAACATCTGTTAAATGCATGAATGAACAAATGAACAAGAGATGGATAGATGGATGAACAAATAAGTAAGTAGATTTATAGTTAAGAATAATATTTTTAAAAGTCATGTATGTGTAGAGGATTAAAGTTTAGACAGGTAATGAAGGTTCTTCATACCAATGTAGGAGAAAAATTTACCAAAAAACAAACAGAAACTTTTAAATTTCTTTATTAATTAGTATAAATAATTTTCTCCCTGCTGGAAATTATTCAAAGTAGAGATAATAATCATAGCAGAGAAACTTCAGTGTGCATACCACCAATCTAGGATGTTTCTTTAAAAATGCACATTCCTGGGTCTGGGCATGGTGGCTCACCCCTGTAATTCCAGCACTTTGTGAGGCTGAGGCAGGCAGATCTCCTGAGTTCAGGAGTTCGAGACCAGCCTGGCCAACATGGTGAAACCCCGCCTTTATTAAAAATACAAAAATTAGCTGGTGTGGTGGCAGGCACCTGTGGTCCCAGCTACTCCGGAGGCTGAGGCAGGAGAATCGCTTGAACCTGAGAGATGGAGGTTGCAGTTAGCCAAGATCACGCCACTGCACTCCAGCCTGGGTGATAGAGCGAGACTCCATCTCAAAAAAAAAAAAAAAAAAAAAAAAAACAGGAAAAGAAAAGAAAAGCATATTCCTGGGCTCCACTCCAGGAATTCTCCCAAGATAGTGTGGTAGGGCCATGCGTAATATTATTTTAACAATTACACCAGATGACTCTGATGTAGAAATCCACAAACTATACTTTGGGAATCTGTTACTGAAGAAAGTGGACAAGATATAGTTTTTTACCTTACCCTTAGAAAGCTGGAAAAATAATAATTTAATTCTTAATCAAGTCTTTACTAGAATAATCCATTTACAGCACTTTTGGTTCATATCCCAATTTCATTTCCAAGAGTCTATGAGTATCCAAAGCCACTGACATGAGACCGTTTATGCCGCACAGATCAGCATCACTGATGGTTGGTGGCTTTCTGGCTGCATTCCATGGCAATTCTCACGAGGTAGCAGCAAGGAGAAAGGCAGGTGATGACAGGACTTCTAGGCATCTTGGGCACTGCTCCATGGGGCTTGCTGATACCAAACTTTCTTTCACCTGATACCCTCTCTTTCTCTTTCTTTCCTTTCTACATCTTGTTTGTTTTCCTTTAACTCAAGTATCTTTCATGTAGCATGGGAACAGAAAATACTCTTAAAAGTTTTATTTGAATCTACCTGTTATATTAATCACTGTTTTCTGAACTTAACAGACAAGTATTTGCAGTCTTCATTTTCTCATTCAACAATGAATGAACTCAAGCTTTATGCTTTACAGTCTAGGAAAGGGGAAGACACTCAGAACACAAGTAAAGAATTTACTACAGGGCCATGGTAACCCCTTAAGTAAAACTTCAAGGTAGCCAAACAAAGGACACTCTAAATAGGTAGAAAATAAATTGATAATTAGTATCCTGTCCTAGATTATATAAAGGATTCTGGTGGTGTGGCTAGAAAGGACAGAATGTATTAAAAATGAAGAAAGAGTGAGAAGCAATGACTCATTGGTTATTGGTAATACGGCTCAAATTTTCTTGAAAATACTAAGACTCAGATACTATCTTAGTCCATTTAGTGCTTTACAAAGGAATACCTGAGGCTGGGTAATTCATGAAGAAAAGAGTTTTATTTGGCTCATGCTTCTGCAGGCTGTACAAGAAGCATGGTGCCAGCATCTACATCTGATGACTACTTCTAACTACTTTTACTCATGGCGAAAGGTGAAGGGGAGCCAGCATGTACAGAGATCATTTGGCAAGGAGGAAGAAAGAGAGACAGGGAGATACAAGACTCTTTTAAACAACCAGCTATCTTGGGAACTTATAGAGCAAAAACTCACTTACCACTACTCCCTTTCAGGCAAAGCATTTTTCTATTAATGAGGGATCTGCCCCCAAGACCCAGACACTGTCCATGAGGCTCCATCTCTAACACTGAGGTCAAATTTCAAAATGAGGTTTTGAGGCATCAAGCATCCAAGCCATAACAGAGGCTAAAAGGAAAAAAAAAGATATGAATACTGACTTGATGTTTTAAACAGAAAATAGCTATCTAAATTTCTGCCAGGTAACTTTAAAAATTTTTGAAATTTATTTCCTCTGTATTACATCTCAATGATCATGCTTAGATCCCATGAAAGAAAGACGTGGTGGACTTCTTTATAAACATGATACGTTAAACACGCGTTTATCTCTGTTGCATTCTAAATCCTTTTAAATTAACAGTGAAGACGTTTTCAAAGGGAATACATGCCAAGTAAAAAGGAAAGGAGAGGCAACAACAGCAGTATTTTAGGAGGTGATAGGACAATAGAAAAGTGACAGCTTACTTAGCAGAATCTGTAACCAAAGCTGAGAGTGGAGCAACACCTGGTCACAAGGTTACTTGTCTGCAAAACCAAGAATAACTCAATAAGCATGCACACCAAATAGCCCTCCAAGTGCCAGGGGACTTGAAAGCACTTAGCCTACCAGCTGCCTTCTCATCCGCCCACACAGCAAAGAAGAACTTTTCCCCAATCCAGTAGAAGATTGGCAGCATACTCTCTGTACAGATCGAATCTGAGAAACTCCGAATCCAGGAACAGTAGGTATTACTAGGGTCTGGAAGCAAAACAGAAACAGGGATTAATTGATGGACTATGTTCCAATCCAGGGGGCTCATGCCCCTGTCCTGATTTTGCTCTCAGGACGTTTGCTGTCAGGATGTTCTCCCCTAAGACTGGAGAATTCTCTTAGGGGAATTTACCTTCGCAAAGAAGAAAAAGAATCCATAGATTTTGAAAACCAGAAATCCTCCAATAATTTTATGAAAAGTTTTTTAAATTAATGTGCCACCTGCTAGCCAGAAATCTCTTTCATATACTTAGGGCTTCCAATCAGCTTTTTAGTGCTTTATTCGTAATAGAGTAGACAACCAAGGATTACTGGGTAATTACGATGTGGTGTGAAAGACAGAGACCTCAACAAACAAAAACGAGGAACTTACAACCAACAGAGCCAATTCTGAATAAGAACAATCTCCAATATTAAAATATCATATCCAGTGACATATATATGAAAGAAAATTTAGATATTTTAAAATAAAAGCCTAAATAACAGAATATAGTTATTTTACCTACAACATACAATGCAAGATTAGTAGATAATATTGATATCTGGATATAATGTAAGGGTAGTAGTGGATATCTACTTCTGAATTTCAAAATCCTCCAAATACAATACAAATGTATTCTATGAGAACACGGAAAAATAGAAAAAATAAATTAGTACTAAATTAGAGTTAAAATAGCTGAGGGTGATTACTGCTGTGGAGTAGGAATCAAGGAACAGGAAAGACAGGGGAGGGAAAGGAGCAGGAGACTGCTGTTTTTTTGTTTGCTAATTAAGTCAATAAGACTATTCGATATTTAAAATCATTGCCATATATTATTTGGTAATAGCTAATGTTACATTACAAGATATTTTACTGATATCCAATAAACTAGAAGTCTTCATAAAATGTGTCTATTATTGGATAAATAAAAGAAAGTGTTATTTTAGTCTCTGTCGCTGTTTTAAAAAAACGCAAAATAAAGTGACTGAGTACTTTTTAAATAATAAAAATGTATTTTTAAAAGTTTTTACAGATCTGGAAATTCCAAGATCGAGGTGCCTGTATTTGGTGTCTGCTGAGAGCTTTTTTGTTATGTCCTCACATTGTGGAAGTATGAAAGAGCAAAAAAGAGCTTAAGCTGGTTCCCTCCAGCCCTTTTGCGGGTGATTAATGCATTCAAAAAGGTGGAACTTTCATGATTTTTTTAAAAAGTTTTAGGTTCAGGAGTATATGTGAAAGTTTGTTATATAGATAAACTTGTGGCAAGGGGGGTTGTTGTACAGATTATTTCATCACCCAGGTATTCAGCCTAGTACCCAATAGTTTTTTATTTGTTTTTTGTTTTTTGTGTTTTTTTGCTCCTCTCTCTTCTCTCACCCCCTACCCTCAAGTATACCCCAGTGTCCACTGTTCCCTTGTTTGTGTTCATGAGTTCTCACCATTTAGCTCCCACTTATAAGTGAGAACATGCAGTATTTGGTTTTCTCTTCCTGTGTTAGTTTTCTAAGGTCAGTAGCCTCCAGCTCCACCCATGTTCTTGCAAAAGACATAATCTTGTTCGTTTGGGGGCTGCATAGTATTCCATGGTGTATATGTACCACATTTTCTTTATCCAATTTGTTATTGATAGGCCCTTAGATTGATTCCATGTCTTTGCTATTGTGAATAGCACCACAATGAATATTCATCGACATGTGTCTTTATGTTAGAATGATTTATATTCCTCTGGGTATCTACCTGGTAATGAGATTGCTGGGTCAAATGTTAATTCTGCATTTAGCAATTTGAGGAATCACCACACTGCTTTCTACAGTGGTTGAACTAATTTATGCTCCCCCTCAAAGTGTATAAGTGTTCCTGTTTCTCCACAACCTCACCAGCATCTGTTATTTTTTGACTTTTTATTAATAGTCATTCTGACATGACATGGTATCTCATTGTGGTTTTGATTTGCATTTCTATAATTGTTAGGATGTGTAGCATTTTTTTCATATGCTTGCTGGCCACATGTATGTCTTCTTTTGAAAAGTGTCTATTCGTATTCTTTTACCACTTTTTAACAGGGTTGTTTGGTTTTTTTTTTTTTCTTGCAAATTTGTTTAAGTTCCTTATAGATGCTGGATATTAGAACTTTGTCAGATATATAGTTTGCAAAAAACTTCTCCCATTCTGTAGATTCTTTAACTTGTGGATAGTCTACAAGTCTCTTTAACCTGTAGATAGTTTCTTTTGCTGTGCAGAAGCTCTTTAGTTTAATTAGACCTTATTTGTCAATTTTTTGCTTTTGATGTGATCGCTTTTGATGTTTTTGTTTAAAAATCTTTGCCCATTTCTATGTTTAGGATGTATTGCCTAGGTTTTGGTTTAGGGTTTTTATAGTTCTGGGAACCCTCATGATTTAATCACTTCCCCAAAGGACCCATCTCTTGATACCACCGCAATGGGGGTTAAGTTTCAACATAAATGTTCGAGGGGGCACATTCCAACCATAGCAAATGTGTAGCATCTGTTTATGTTATTGTAGTTCCTATTTTTACTGCAGTAACTGGATATATAGAGTCTGACCAGGATACTGCAGATGGCAAGCCTGCATATGAGAAACATGTAGCCTTCTGAGAATTACTGAGTTTTTAGACCACTGAGCTATGGATATCAAATGCCACGTAGTAACTATGTGTGAACAATCTTAGGATGTGTAGTCTTACAGACTATGCTGTCTATAGCAGGAACATGACTGTGCACAACACATTGAATAAATGTTATTCTTTATTTTACATTGAAGACTTATAGATGCCACATAAAGTCCATTCTTTAAAAATAAAGTGGATTCCAATTATGCTACATACATCAAACTAGAAGCAAGCAAAATTTAATTTACCGACACTGTTATGGTAGCAGATTTTTGGAGTCCTTTGATAAACTATTAAAGTATTTACTAAACTCTGGTTTCCTGGAAAGTACAAACAAACCAGAACAAATTTATTTTCTCCCTTAGGACAGAGAAAGCTCTGAGGAACATATTTTGTCTGTTTGTGTTGCTGTATTATAGATTTGGGACTAAGGGTGAAAAAAACAGGCTTAAAAGTGGTTTCCTGTGCTTCATGAGGCTTGCTGATAAATTCCCACAATAGATTTCTTCCTTTGGTTAATAAAAATGTGTCCAGGCCCTTTATGAATACAGTTCCTCATCTCTGTAATTGCTTTTATTACCAACTCTCATCAGGATTAAAAATTTATAATTATAATGAAGAAAAAATCATAAAAATAACTCAAGGTTTATTAGAGTAAGCACCTTTTGAATATCTTTTAAATGAATACTGACAATTCTTATAGTAATTTATAGTTTATAGCACATAATTTTGTGTTATCTCACTTGTTCCTATCAAAATTGTTTGACAGGTAAGGCAGTGATTTTACAGAGAAGTTCACAAAAGTTCCAGAAATAGCTTTATAAACAGAAAGCAGACTCATTCCCATGTTCGTAACTTCTCACTCTAAGCCCTGTACTGCTCTGTGTATATATCTCTCTCCAACTTACCTTACCTCCTTCTGTCATAATCTGAAACTTTGATCAATTTATAACTATAGCCTCACGCCTAATCTTTCTCTCTCTCTTTTCTCTTCTCTGCCCAGTTTTCTGTCTTCAAGTCAGTTAATTCTATAGTTGCACAGAAATTACAGTCACAAAAGAAAATCTTGCAGAGGCTGTTTTTATTGGAAAAGAAATAACCGAAGACTGAGAAGTGAGTGAGGGAGTGAGGTGAATGTCAGAAAAGGAAAAGTGAAGTTTCTTCAATGAAGCCTCAGAAAACAAGACAAAAATGCTGGAACCTCACTCAAAGAGTGGGCCAGAGGAGGCAGGTCAGAATGTCTTGCTAGACTTTGATTTGTTCCTACATGATGTCTTAATAAAGATGGAGATTTCCTCTTTAGTTAAAGGAAAGCCAAAAGTATTAATAAAGCGCTGCCCAATCTATTTTCCATAAAAAGCTCCAAATTATTCAGCAATTCAGAGCATACACAGCCAGGAGGAGTCTCTTCTAAGTAGCCAGCCTCAAGTAAATCATGCTTTCATACATGTATTTGTATGGCACTGTCAGGAGACCTGATTCTTTTTACCCCACATATGGTGTTACTGAATAAATTCTTTCTACCCAGTTGTCTTATTCTGGCAGTTACGAATAGTGTCTGAGTAACTCTCTGCTCTATGGTACCTGTATCTGAAGCTACTCCAGGTGATTTGTCAGCCGGCTTTTGTTCCTAAAGACAAATCCTTAAGTGACCGGTTTTATATTCCACACTCTGCTGGTTGGTCTTGTTAAAGACAAAATTGCACCAGACATGATAACATGACGAGCAGAGAGAAGACAATTTTATTCTGATACTGTTGCTAGCATGGGGCGGGTGTAGACACCCTGCTCCTCAGATACAAAAGCAGGAGAGTTATTAAGAGCTGGACTGGGGAGGGGGAATCTAGGCCGTCTGGGTTTGCCAGTTGGCCTTACCCAAAGGAAAAGTAAACTTTCTTTTCTTTTTTCTCTCTCTCTTTTTTTTTTTTATTTGAGACAGAGTCTTACTCTGTCGCCAGGCTGGAGTGCAGTGGTGCGATCTTGGCTCACTGCAACCTCTGTCTTCTGGTTCAAGGGATTCTCCTGCCTCAGACTCCCAAGTAGCTCGGACTACAGGCGCCCATCATCATCCCCAGCTAATTTCTGTATTTTTAGTAGAGATGGGGTTTCACCATCTTGCCCAGGATGGTCTCGATCTCTTGACCTTGTGATCCACCCGTCTTGGCCTCCCAAAGTGCTGGGATTACAGGCGTGAGCCACAACGCCCAGCCACTTCTTTTTTTTTTCATAATAGGACTTGGTTTTATGACTTGGAACATAGCAAGCCCCTTTTGTTCAAGTGGAAAGACTCCTGTGCTCCCACTGGAACTGGGAGATAGGGGCACTATCTTCCTTGCTGTTTATATTTCACATTGTTTTTCCTTTTTCAACTTTCATTTTCGGTTCAGAGGGGACATGTGCAGGTTTGTTATATGGGTGAATTACATATCTTTGGGGGTTTGGTATACAAATGATTTCATCACCCAGGTGGTCAGCATAGCACCCAATATGTAGTTTTTCAACCTTCACCCTCCTCCTACCCTCCACCCTCAAGTAATCTTCAGTATTTATTGTTCCCTTCTTTGTGACCATGTGTACTCAGTATTTAGCTCCCACGTCTAAGTGAGTATGTGAAATATTTGGTTTCCTGTTCCTGCATTAATTTGCTTAGGATAATGGCCTCCAGCTGCATCCATGATGCTGCAAAGGATATTATTTCATTCTTTTTTTATGGCTGTGTAGTATTCCATGGTGTATAGGCAACACATTTTCAAAGAAATGGTTCTCAGGACCTGAACAAAGTCATTTTTGCATTGTAAAACAGGTAAGAGCCTGGGAGATGATTTACATGTATCTCAAAGGGGCAGAGGCAGGATTTACAATGACAAGTTTTGTAAAGTAAATGCTTTAAGAAAAGGGAGGCCAGCAGCCTAGAGTCAGGAAGAAACTTGTCTAAAGCGTAATCAAGTTGGAAGGAACTCTAAATCCATCTTGGTCGGGCCACAGTCACAGTCATTGCTCTGGACTCTTCTGTAGCTCTAAGTGGCCCAGGAAGGAGCCATCAGTGCTGCCTGGATTGTTGCTTTCAGTGTCTTTGTGTTGACTTTGCTGCCACCATCAGCAGTGCCTCATGAACACACACTCCATTCAGTTGTCAAATGATTACTTATTTAACACTTACTTTGTTCAAAGTCCTGTCCTAAGCTCTAGGAGTCACAGGTGCCCCTCATATTGACAGAGTGTGGGAATTCCCTGCCCTTGAACCCTCATTGTCATGTCCACTGTGAACAAAATTCCTTCCTAGAGCAAACAAAAACTTCTTTCTCTTTTCTTCCTTTGCCACAAAGGCAAAACCAAAACAAAACAGAAAACAAAAACAAAAACCCAGAAACTGAAATAAAAAAAAATTAAAAATAAAACCTGACAGAGCAGGATAACTGCCATATCCACTGTGAAGGAAGCTTTATACTCTGGAACTCTGGGCCAAATAAAATCATAGTAGAGGCTTTTAGAAACACATAAAAAATGGAAACTTTTTTGGCATAATGACAAATGGAGTTAAAAGATGGGGCTAAGTCTCAACATTAGAAATGTCTGTTTTTGCAGTAGGTTATTCCCAGTTGAGGGAAACCACCTTTCCTGCATTCTTTACACTCATTTTCTGTCTGAGAATCTCTTCATACCTCAATACTTGCAAAAAAGTTTAAAGGGAAACTGTTTAGAACAAAAATGCCTGCACATGGGTCAGGGCTATGAAGAAGAAGAACAATGTGGGGAAGGTGGAGATGTCAAAAGAAAAAGGACCACAAGAAATGAGAGAAAACAAAACGGTTCTCAGAGAAGCAGCTCTCTTATATCTCTCCATTGTGGATTTGTCAAAGTGAACCTACCACAATAAATAAATACTTGGTTTGCCCCATTTTCAGGGTTCCATATAAGAGTCTCCAGTAAGGGATTCTTTCTAACATTTTTGAGCATTTAAAGGCAGAATGATGTCTGATTAAGAATAAGAAGGAGGGAGAGGGAGGAGGAAAGAAAGAAAGAAACAAAGGAAAGATTTGAAAGCATCTGTTAGACTCCCTTTTTTCAAATGACAAATAAAGGGATCTCCATGTCAGGGTCTTTTCATTCTTCCCATTGCTAATATTTCATTGCCTAAAGAATTCTAAGGTTGGCATTAAACTCACTGAATTTCTCACTACAACCCTCTGAGAAATAGCAGCAAAATTTTAAACTGAGGGAAGAGAGACACTTGCCCAAGGTCACACAGCTGGTAAGTAGCGAAGGCAGAAATCAAAAGCAGACCCTCTGGCTCAGATACCCATGATTTAACACTAGGCTCCACAGTTTCATTAGGCACTACTTTTCTATTTGAAATGATGCATGGTGTAGTGTGAGAAAAAGTAGCTAATTCTAATATTAATTAGGGCTAGAATTCTAACGGTCCTCATTAAATCGATCCTCCTTCACCTTCATAAGCTTCCGTCATAGTTGATGCCTCTGATGAGAACAGAATTCCATTTATCCCAAACATCAGCTCTGTTATGCAATATTAGCCTCCCACAGTTTTATGTGGGGCTAATTTGTTATTATAATTATAATTATAATGTGATGTAATCTAATATCATCTGAGATTATTAGGTCCCATGTTCTGAGGAGTTGTAGAGCAGAGGCATCAGTTATCATTGGTTCTTTTTGCATGTTTGTATGTAATCAAATTTAGTAGAGCTCTGTTGAGTATACAGAATGACACCTGAGAGACACAAATCCAGAGAAAGGGTCAAGAAAGTAAATGAAAACAAAACAAAACAAAACAAAAAACAAAGCACACATGGAAATCAGTAAAGAGGGTTTGTCGTATATTTTCCATAATAGGAAGAGGAAGCTAAAAAGTGGATAAAGCAGTCTATATATACTAAAATTATTAAGAGTCAGAAAGGCTGTCCACAGACACTGAAATGCACGGGAGAGCAAAGGATCCTTGTGACAGGTTTATCAGGCATAAAGACACCCAGAGTGGAGTTCAACATATTTTTCATACTCCATTGGCTGACGAAGGTTACCTTCCAAGTTAATCCAAAATTAAATCCCCACCACACTCTCCCCAATACTATTAGTGTATTAAGGGGCCACAGCACAAAGGTAAAGATCAGTAAAGCTGGTAAATTATCCTTTTAGCATTGGAAAAGTTTACATAAAAAATATTCATTCACAATTAAGTGACTGATACAGGAGTAGCTTTTATTCACCTGAGAGGATCACCAGGAGGGACATTTCTTGACATAAGTCATGAAGATGATTACATATTCATCATGAATACAGAAGTAAGGAAGGAGCTTGAATGAAAGCAAAGGAGGTCTAAAGAATTTAAAATATTTAGGCATAGCTGAATGAAAGTGTGTACCTAATGCTCATAGGTGATGGGGTTGTAGTGAAAAATAAGAGTGGAGAGATTTTTTTAAATTCCAGAACTCATAATGCCTTGGAGATCATATCTGTGTTTTGTGGTGTGCAGTGAAAGTGACCAAGAGCCACAACAGGGTTTTACTTTGGAAAATAACACAAATAAATTTTGATAACGTTAAATTAACTTTTATAGCTGGGGGGAATGCTTGGAGAGGTGCAAGATTGGAGGCAGAAACACCAGTCAGGAGATTGTAATGATCAAAGTCAGAAAAGAAACAAAGGAAAGATTAGGGGACTCTATCAGTCCAGGCATGATCATCAAAGAAAACTATTATAAAAGATAGATAGGTAAAAAGATAGGTGTATGATAGATTAAAAATTGATGAGACAGAGATAGATATACTTACATTTTTTTTTTTTTTTTGAGATGGAGTCTTGCTCTGTCACCCAGAGCTGCACCCAGGCTGGAGTGCAGTGGCGCGATCTCGGCTCACTGCCAGCTCCACCTTCCGGGTTCACGCCATTCTCCTGCCTCAGCCTCCCGAGTAGCTGGGACTACAGGCGCCCACCACCATGCCCGGCTAATTTTTTTTGTATTTTTAGTAGAGACGAGGTTTCACCGTGTTAGCCAGGATGGTCTCGATCTCCTGAACTCGTGTTCCGCCCGTCTTGGCCTCCCAAAGTGCTGGTATTACAGGCGTGAGCCACTGCGCCCGGCCAGAGATAGATATACTTTCATAATTTATTAAAAGGATCTGTCCTTGTACAACTGTGGACATTGGCTAAAGAGTTTGTGTAAGGCTGCTGTCTTCTCATCTGATCCTGGAGCTTGACATCTGAGGTCAGTAAGTCAGAAAGGAAGATGGATATGAAATAGGAGAGAACGAGTAGAAACTAGAACTTATGAAAGTGGGCTTGAACCCACCAGGACAGACTGGAACCTGTTTAAGTGTCTTACTGCTTCTAACTTCAATGATGGTGTCAAAAGAAACTGGTGCTTTTCCTCATGAATCTAAATAAGTCCTGACCCAGGAGTTGGAGAAGTTGAAGAAAGTTCTGGAAGAAAGTGGGCTATCTAATGTCCCAAGCCAGCAGGTAAATGACCATATACATGAGCTACAACACCTTCTGTTGTTTCCTAGCATTAGACCTTTCTTAGCATTAGAAAAATAAATGGTTGTGGTTCACTTTTGCCTTCTAATCTTTAAAATGTCTCCTGTGATCCACCGGAAGGAATATAGAACAATGGGAATTCTGAGAAACATTGTTCATCCTAGCCATGTAGGCCCAATACAAAGACATTAACAAAAATCGATATGACATGGTTTTATAGAGGTAGGATTGGAGTTGGGGCCTGATTAGATATGTTTTGTGGGGGGATGTGGTGAAGCAACATTAGAACTAAAGTATTTATTACATTTGATAGCTGCAGTTCATATAATGAGCATTCAGGGGTAGATTCTTCAAACTTAAGATTAAGAAATAAATGGGAATTATCAACAGAAAGAAAGAGCAGAGACAGGTGCATAGCTTTGGAGGGATCATATTCAAGGTAGTAAAATGATTATAACAATAATATGAAAGAAGTTTACATTTTAACATAGTTATAGTCTTTACAGAAAGAGCCAAGTTGCAGAGGATAGGTTAGAATGCAGAGAAGACAAGGATAATCTGAAGAAACAATGATACATTGATGTTAGAGAATATTATATATAAGCACAAACACAGGGGAGAGAGAGGTGTCAACCTAACAAGAGACACATATACTCTGAGAGTGAGAGAACAGAAGGTGAGGGAAGAGACTGTCACCAAATCGAATCACCAAAACATCCCTGAAATGTACAATTTTACAAAAGTTCACTGATGTCCAAAAGAGTAAATGTCTTACAGTAAATGTCTTATAGCAACTTCATAATACTATCAACTATATTTGTGTCTGTACAAACTTCTTAAAGTTTTATAAGAAACTTAAGTTTTATATAATATTTACTATTTTAGGACATTTGAAAACAAAATATTGTGTAATATTTTTAATATGTGTATGTTGCATGTATGTGTTTAGTAAACACTATGTGAATGGAGATAAATTCTAAATCATCACTAGGCTAATACAAATTGAAATTGTAAAGCTATTTCACATTAACTTAACACAGATTTTCAGTAATGTATATAAATTTACAGTTAGCAATGTACATCAAGAGTTCCTGGATTTGTCACGTTACCTTTCTATTGTAAACTGCATTTACTCTTCTGACAAAATCTTTTAAGTGTACAAAGTTGAAAATAAAAAAACTTTGGGGACTTTTCTAAAATTAAAAGAAAAGTTAGTAACTTTTAAAGTTATAGCTAAGGAATGACAGTTAACTTTGATACTTGTTTTAGACAAACAAGTCAGCTATTACTTTAAAATTTAAGGTAACATCCTTCTTTGCTCAAGAGTAAGTGAAATAATATAGGATGAATAATGTGTGCATTATAAGACCAAAATGTTCCCTATATTTAAGCCATTAATAATGCATAAAACCTGTTGATAATCATGTTTTTTATTTAAAAGGAAAGTAAATTTGAAAACAAAAGAGACAATCTTAAAATTCTGGGTCATAACATATCTGTGAAATTGGCATTATCAGAAAAATCATTGTAAAGATAGCATCAAATAGCGTGCTATTCAGCATAAGCTTAAATCCCAACACCTCTGTGATTTAAAAAAAAAAACAGTAAAAAATGAAACTAATAAAGTCTCTCTCCCAAACCCATCAAATGAGGCAGAAATGCATGTTTATTTTAATTTAGCAAAAGGGAAAACACTTGTCACTCAGATATGAAGTGAAACAAACAATTGTTTAGAAAAGTGATCATAAATTTGATCATGAAAGCAAAAGTAAATTATATTTAGTCATGTAGAACAATGAGATTTTTCATCAGTTCTTTTATGCCTTCATACATTTAAAACATTAGTTTGTAAATATTTTCCTTTTGTCTTTTCCTTTCAAAATTTTTGGTGTCTGGTCAGAACACTACTCTTTTTTGTTGTACTTATTTTTGTCTTTTTTCCTTTTCTTTATTTTTAACATATATATATTTTTAACATATATATATATATATATATATTTTTTTTTTTTTTTTTTTTTTTTTTTTTTTTTTTGAGACAGGGCCTTGCTCTGTTGCTCAGGCTGGAGTGTACAGTGGTGCAATCTCAACTGACTGCAACCTCTGCCTTCTGGGTTCAAGCGATTGTCCTGTGTCAGCCTCCCAAGTAGCTGTGACTACAGGCACCTGCCACCATGCTTGGCTAATTTTTGTGTTTTTAGTAGAGACAGTGTTTCACCATGTTGGCCAGGCTAGTCTCCAACTCCTGGCCTCAAGTGATCCACCAACCTCGACCTCCCAAAATGCTGGGATTACAAGCCTGAGCCACTGTGCCCAGCCCAACTTTTAAGTTCAGTGGTACATGTGCAGGTTTGTTACATAGGTAAATTTGTGTCATGTGGGGGTTTGTTGTACAGGTTATTTAATCACCCAGGTATTAGGCCTAGTACTCATTTGTTATTTTTCCTGATTCTCTCCCTTCTCCCACCCTGCACCCTCCGATAGGCCCCAGTATCTATTGTTCCCCTCTGTGGCCGTGTGTTCTCATCCTTTAGCTCCCATTTATACGTGAGAACATGCAGCATTTGATTTTCTTTTCCTGTGTTAGTTTACTAAGGATAATGGCCCTCAGCTCCACCCATGTCCCTGCAAAGGACATGATCTCATTCTGTTTTTGGATGCATAGTATTCCATCATGTAAGTGTACCACATTTTCTTTATCCAGTCTACCATCGACGAGAATTTTGGTTTAATCCTCGTCTTTGCCATTGTGAATAGTGCTGCAGTGATCGTACATGCACAGGTGTCTTCATGTTAGAACAATTTATATTACTATGGGTAGATACACAATAATGGGATTGCTTGGTCATATAGTAGTTCTGTTTCTAGGTCCTTGAGGAATTGCCACATTTCCTTCCAAAATGGCTAAACTAATTTACACTCCCACCAACAGTGAATAAGGATTCCTTTTTCTCAACAACCTCACTAGCATCTGTTATTTTTGACTTTTTAATAACAACCATTCTTACTGATGTGAGATGGGGTGTCTTGTAGTTTTGATTTGTATTTCTTTAATGATCAGTGATGTTGAGCTTTTTTTCATATGATTGTTGGCCACATGTATGTCTTCTTGTGAAAATGGTCCTTTGCTCACTTTTTAATGGAGTTATTTGTTTTTTTCTTGTAAATTTGTTTAAGTTCCTTATAGACTTTGGATACTAGACCTTTGTCAGATGCATAGTGTGCAAAAATTATCACCCATTCTGTAGATTGTCTGTTTATTCTGTTGATAGTTTCTTTTGCTGTGCAGAAGCTGTTTAGTTTGTTAATTTTTTCCTTTGTTGTGATTGCTTTTGGTGTCTTTGTCATGAAATATTTTCCCATTCCTACTAGGTTGTCTTCCAGGGTTTTCATAGTTTTGAGTTTTACATTTAACTCTTTAATCCATCTCGAGTTAATTTTTGTATATAGTGTAAGGAAGGGGTTCTGTTTCAATCTTCTGTATATGGCTGGCCACTTATCCCAGCACCTTTTATTGAAATGCATTTCCTTTCTTTATTGCTGTTTTTTTGTCAGTTTTGTCAAAGATCAGATAGTTGTAGATGTGTGGCTTTATTTCTTGGCTTTCTATTATGTTCCATTGGTCTATGTGTCTGTCTTTGCAGCAGTACCATGCTGTTTTGGTTACTATAGCCCTGTAGTATAGTCTGATGTAGGGCAGCATTATACCTCCAGCTTTGTTGGTTTTGCATAGGACTGCCTTGGGTATTTGAGGTCTCTTTTGGTTCAATACGAATTTTAAAGTAGTTTTTTTTTTTCTAGTTCTGTGAAGAATACCATTGGTAGTTTGATAGGAATAGCATTGAATCTACAAATTGCTTTGGGTAGTATAGCCATTTTAACAATATTGATTCTTCCTATCCATGATAATAGAATGCTTTTCCATTTGTTTGTGTCATCCCTGATTCCTTTGAGCAGTGTTTTATAGTTCTCTTTGATAAAGTCTTTCACCTCCCTGGTTAGTTATATTCCTCGGTATTTTATTTCTTTTGTGGCAATTGTGAATGCAATTATGTTCCTGATTTGGCTCTCACTTGACTATTGTTGGTATATAGGAATGCTATTAATTTTGTATTCTGAGGTTTTGCTGAAGTTGTTTATCAGCTTAAGGAGCTTTGGGGTCAAGACTATGGAGTTTTCTAGATATAGGATGATGTCTTCTGTAAACATAGTTTGACTTCCTTTCTTCCTATTTGGATGCCCATTATTTCTTTCTCTTGCCTAATTGTTCTGGCTAGGACTTCCAATACCCTTTAATATGTTATTCTGAGTTACATTTTTTATAGGAGACATATTGGTAATATTCTCCAATTTAAGCACTGTATCTAAGTCTCTAAAAACATCACTCTTCACAGATAAATATCTCCCTGCCACTATGCATTTTATAATTTTAATTATATTATGAGTCAGGATATTTTAAAGAAAAAGAGCTATTGGATTCATAAGTAATACATGTATAAAAATGATGCATGCAAAATAAAGTGGTTGATAAACTGATGAAGAAAAACTGTATATTTTGATACCCTCAGAAAATTATTAATGGGAACTGCAAGCCACTTCCTTCCAAATGGATTTCTGATTTCTAGGACTCGGGAAAAATATTTTAACTGAGCTGTGAGTCCTCATATCAGAAGCTAAATACCTAGATTAATTCATCACATCACATTTCTATTCCAAATTAGCTGGAGATTCTGCCAGTTTCTTGGTGAGTCTAGAGGGAATTACAAAGAAGTCAACAGCATTGACAAATGTAGAATTGGAGCTGAAGACAACTCATGGAAATTGTTGATATGCGTCACTTCTAACATACACAATGACATATTGTTTATGTCCTTAGATTTCCTTTGACAAACAAAAAGTTTAAGATTTCACTCATTTGAATACCCAACAACCTTCTTGTTTTAGGATATTGTTTGGTAAGATTGTACATATACTACATCCATCATATTTTCATTGTGAAGAGTTTCTAAAAAGAAAACTATAACCAAGGAGAATTGGATCAAAATTCAAACTACACATTACAGCTGGCCCTTTTGATCCTAAATCTCTAAACAAATAGAAAATTATCTTTTGTTTAACAAATCTATAACCTTGAATACTTAAAATTAGAAGAATAACTATGAGTACTCTTTCAAAGATATTGTGCAATGAGATCTGATTGAAGAAGAAACCATAGCACAACATATTTTCAGGAAAACTAGTGAGAGAAAGAAGGTGCCCCTCTGGATGCAAGCCAAGCAAGGAAGTGTTAGATGCTGTGAGCATGAAGAGCCTGGGGTGGACCTGCCTCCACTTCTGACTTCTCCTGCTTAAACCAAGGCAGGAATTGGTCAGACAGGATAGTGCCCTGTGAACTTCAAGAGGAATGGAGGAAAATGTATTTTTTGCTATTTGTTGCCCATTCTTTTTCTATATATTTTAGAATCAACTCACCATTTAACAATTAAAAAAAGAGCTGCTGCAATTTTGGTGGGGCTATATTGAATCAAAAAATAAATTTAGAGTGAAGTGACATGTTTAAAATATGAAGTCTTCTCATTCATTAACAGCATATGTCTCTACATTTATTTGGGCTCTTTTTATTTTCTTCAACAGTGTTTTGTAGTTTTCACATTGTCCACTGGATTTATTCCTAAGTCCTGTGTATTTTTGATAAAACTAAAAACGGTTATTCAAATTTTTTTAAATGTTGCTGGTGTATCAAAGTAAAA
Source organism: Homo sapiens (assembly GCF_000001405.40). Lineage (NCBI taxonomy): Eukaryota > Metazoa > Chordata > Mammalia > Primates > Hominidae > Homo > Homo sapiens. The sequence continues at coordinate 36,475 of NW_013171806.1, read as the reverse complement.
TTGATTTTTCATAATAATTGTTTTTCAAGTGAATTTGCCAAATCCACTTATTGATTCTAAGAGTTTCTTGCAGATTCATTTGGACATTTGCACAATAATTAACTTTACCAATTTTTATTCTTTTATTTCTTTTTCTTTCTTTATTCTATTGCCCAATTTGGTACAAAGTTGAAAAGAAGTTGACGATGTTAGGGATTTTTGCTTGTGTGTTTTTAACAAAGATTGGCCTTTACCTTTTCATCTTTTGATACCTTTGTCATGTTTATCTGACTTCCTAACAAGGTGGAAAGAGTTCCCTCTCTTTCTTCTCTTCAAATATTTTTTATAAAACTGAAATTATTTTGTCCTTAATATTTGGAATATAATTTACATCAGCAAAATGTTTTCGATAAAAGAAAAGTTACATAATTATTTTATATACCTAAATGAAATCATATGGATCCCTTGACATGATATACTTACTATGTTTACGTTTATCACACCTATATCAATAATGTAAATGGGAAAAGCTAGTTACAAAAATAATACTGTAAAATTTATGCAGAGAAAGGATCTGAAAAAATACCATGGTTTCTCTAGGGAGTAGAGTGAATAGGTTGTGAGAAATTTGAGTCATATCAATATACTGTAAACATTATAGTTTTAATAACTTATCAATTGTGATTTAAAATGGCACAAACGTGAACTTTTCCATCTACTCAAGGATGGAAGGAAAAAGAGGAAGAAAGAAATATCCACACAAAATGGCTGAACACTGATCTCTTTTCTTTTTAGCAAGTACATTTTTTGGCTTGATATTGTTGTAAGCGCTTAGAGACTGTTCCCTGAGCAGACTATGTGGTGTGGTGTTCCAACAGAGAGTTGTCTGCTGTTTTATGAGCAGAAGTTGTTAATGCCTGCAAATTGATGCTATTCTCCAGTCTCGGGTTATAAAGGGAAAGCAGATGTTCATGTGCAACTAACCCAAACACATTGAGAAAGGCTACAGATATTTTCCCATTTCAATTACCATAATTTAATGTCTAGAATACATGCCCAAAATCTTTTCATGGCAATGGATCAGCACATCCTATGCAATGCAAACCAAGTCCCCAAACTCTTCTGTATGCACTGCTCATTTTCAGAGATGAAAGCATTATACTGAATATGAGTTCAAACTGTTCTGAAGTGCTTTTGTTGGTATATTTTCAAATATTACAAAGGTTTGTTTCCTAGTAGTTTTTATTATAGATTCCATAGAAGAGTTGTTTACCTTCTTGCACTTTCCTATTGTTTTTCTTTTTATTGGTGTGTGATTGCTATGGTTGAACTGAATTTGCTAGGCCATTTCTTGAGATGTGACAATCATATCTTATTCCTTATGATTCTCTTTACAGGAAATTGTCATTAAATAGTTGAGGTACATTCTTTTGAAGCATGTAAAATAATTAACATCCTCTTAAATATAAGCAGCTTAATACAAAGACAAAATATTTGATTTTTCAAAAAATAAACCAAATTAAACAAAAAGATCATTTTGATAAAATAGAAACATAAATGTAGGTTATATTTTGAACATATTATAAAATGTTAAAACATTAAAATATTTATGATGGATTACTTGCAATAAAGAAACTTTAAAATGAATATAATCTTGTTTTGTTTATAAAAAACACACCCATGCATATGCACATCAAAAGATACTACCAACAAAAATATGATTGCTTTGGTCATTTCCTTTTGGTGGGTATTATAAAAGCTTAGAATTTTCTTCTTTTTAAGCATCTGTAGTTTATAAAATTTCTATTTATTTTCATTAAGAAAAATTCTATGTATCTAAACAAATATAGAAAATGTGCTGTGAAGTAAAATTTGAAGAAACATGAAACATAGGCGAAACTTTGATGTTACTTCCTTAATACCTCAAACCGTAAAATTTCTAATAATTTAAATTTGGAAAATATGCTCATTTATTTTTATAAGTGTATTCCTCTTTATCCAAATAACATATTCATTGCAAAAAAAAGCAACTAAAAATCTCACTAACATATTAAAGAAGTTATTTGGATTTTGGTATATGTCTTTCACACAGTTTTATTTGTTATCATTGGAAAACCTAATTAAAGAGATGCATTCAGAGGGAGAATAATTAGACATCAAATTTGGAAAGTAAGTCTACTATTTCTGACCTTGAGTCCTTAATCCTTCTCCTCAAATGAGCATTACCTGTCTATAATGTATTCTTCCAATGAGATTTGAGATTCTATGAATAAATAAGCATAAAGAGTCTGAGTGTGTGGGGGTGTGTGTGTGTGTGAGAGAGAGAGAGGAATGAGTATTTACAAAGAGATAACTTTTTCTTACAAAAATGGTTCATTATATACAGTGTTTACTATTATTCTTTCTTCACTAAAAGTGTCTCTTTTAATTTTTTACGCTTTTAAAAGAGATATATTATTTTTAAATGATTGCATGTTGCTCTAATATGTGGCTCTAAAATAATTTATTTAATAGGTTCCATATTATTAGATATTTTTGTTATTTGTTTTCTGTGTTTTTTACACTATAAAATTTGATCAGATGAATATTTCCTATGCATATATGTGACTATATTTACTGGATATATTTTTAGAAGGAAAATTTCTTGGTCAAGAATATAAACTTCAAAAATGATATATAGTGCTAAATTGTTCTTCATACATTTTAAGCAATATATGTCAATATACGACTATGGTATTTCCCATATTTTTGCTAACAGAGTATATCCTTTTAATTGTTAAACAAAGATTTTTAATTATAGTTTTAATTTGTCCTTCTTTTTCCTTCAGAGATTTATCATTATATTATTTTGTTAATGGTCATTTGCCTATTTTTGCACATGTTCATGTGTGTTTATGGTGGGAGTGAGTAGCCTGTTTATGTTCTCTGCTCATTTTTGTATTTATTAGATTGTTTGATTTATTTTTTTCTCATGAGCTGTAAGCAATCTTTATGTACTAAGGTAATGTGTCCTCAGTGAGCCATATTCTTTGCAAATATTTATTCCTAGTTTTATTATTCATTTGTCTTTGACTTGGTTTATTGAATTGAGCTTAGTTCTCTTTCAAAGGAAGAATTTATTGAGCCAGCTGTTACTAGAAGTTGTCCATTGAGAGAGGTTTCAGCTGTCGGCCCCTTCATGAATTGCCTCAGCTTCTAGTTACCCACTCTCTGCAAGGAAGGCCCTTCTGGAATAGCCAATATCCAATGACTACTTCAGGTTGGGCTATAAATGGCCAACCTGATGGGCCGTTTTAGCAACAGAGATCCTCATAAGGTCAGCTGAGACTGCCACTGGGCTTGCACTGCATTTTAACTTTTCCCTTTGCTCTCCTCTGCTTCCTTCCCTTCCCTTCAACAGATGTGGATCTCAAGGACACTCTTCAATAAATATCCTGCACACTAAATTCTGAATCAATGTTTGCTTCCCAAAGACTCAACTCGTGCCTCCCCCCAGAACATTTATATAATTGAACATTTATAAAATCCCTTTGTATTTTGCCTTAGTCCTAAATATACCTCATCTAGAGGTAAATTCATTACTGGAGGAAATTGGTAATCTCTCTCTCAGCATGTGTGTGTGTAATATATTCACATACACTATATACACACTAAATATATACACAATATACACATTAAATATACACACTATATATGCTGTGTACACACTATATATATTACATATACATACTATATATACACATGCACTATTTGTACACACACTATATACACACTATATGTATATACACACTATATATACACACACTTTTTGTATATATACACTATCTTATATATCATATATAAACACACTATATAGTTATGTATATAGTATATAAGTGTGTGTGTATATATGATGAACACAAGTTTTTTTTCAATTTTCTACAATCAGAAATTTTTTTTCTTGCATATGTGTATGAGTTTCTCTGTAGCGTAGATAACTAAGAGTGGAAATGGTGGTTCATAGGAGGTGGGTGTCTTCAACATTACTAGAGAATTCCAAAGTTCTCAAAATGGGGATTACATACATGTTCAAATTTTAAAACACGTTGTCCAAATAATTTCTTGCCTGTCTATGAACTTTGTAGTTGGATGGAAAAATTATCTTTCATTACATTAGATGCCAGTTGCGCAAGAGTTAGAAAATGGCTTCGTCACATGAGCTCTATTAATGGCATTACCCTCCTTCTAGTCCCTGAGGTAGGACATCTGTAAGCCACCTTTGGAAGGCTTTTATTATTTCATGATCGATCTTCTAACATTCACACTTATTATTGAACATTCTTTTCTCTATTTATTTCTGTTATTGTTAATTTTATGTGTCTTCTTGATTGGATTAAATAATACTGAGATAGCTGGTAAAACATTATTTTTGGTGTGTCTGTAAAGGTGTTTCTGGAGGAGACCAACATTTGAATTACTAGATTGAGTAAAGAAAATCCACCTTCAGGAATGTAGTTCCTTACTCAGTTCTTTACTGCCTAAATAGAACAAAAAGGTGGAGGAAGGATAAGTTTCCTGTCTCTCCTTAAGCTGAAACATCCATCTTCTCCTGCCCTTGGACATTTGAACATCAGAGATCTTGGTTCCCAGGCTCCAGGATTTATACTAGCTTCCCACTACCCACACCCTCCACCCCTGGCTTCCCTGGTTCTCCAGTTTGCAGATGGCATATTGTTGGACTTCTTGGCCTCCATAATCATGCAAACCAATTCCCATTATAAATCTCTTGCTCTCAGTGCCTATATACATGTCCTATATAGGTTCCGTTTCTCTGGAAAAAACTAATATAACCTCATGGCTCTCATATAATAAGTTTGAGGTTCTGGCCTCAAACTTATTATATGAGGGCCATGAGTTTGTATTTCTTACAAACATCATCAGCTTTTGTATTAATAAAAGTCTTCAGGCTATTTTGACTTTCTTAGGTCCTTGAAATTCAAGGCATTTTTACACTTGCTGTATTCAATTAGAACAAGAAAGCAAACAAACATTTTCAAAATATGGTCTTTCCAAGTTTTGCTTGAGAGAACAAGTTAAAACTGCATCTTCTCCCAGTTTCTCAGGCAATAAGTTTTACCTGGACACCATACTTTATCATTTTAGTGAGCATCCTTATCTGGGAGTCAAATGTGTTTGAGAAAAGGTACTTAGTGTCTCTGCAGACTCTTTACTACACCATTCTTGCTTTCTCTGCCATAAACAGCTCTTACTGAACTAAATCTCCTCTAACATAACAGCTCTTCCTCCCATTGCAATTAACAACCATGAAAAATCCAATATCTCTGCCTCATGGCCACTCCAACTGAAATAACTTTAGATTGCTTCTTAATGCAGGTTCAAATCCTTCCTACCAAGCAGGCACATATATTTCTGCACAACTGGATGTCACTGAGGTTCCTCTGAGAAGAATATGAAATGATAGAGTATGAAGGAGATGAGGTTAAATTCTGGCTTCACTACTTAGTGTTTGTGTTGGTATAGGTACGTGAATCAAACTTTTCAAATTTTCAATTATTTTATCTGAATAAAACAACATTTTAACTTGTTAGGCTATTTGTGAGGGTTAACTGGGAAAAATCATGCAAAAGTTTTAAAAGGCGTATCTGGCACACCGTAGGCATTTAATACATGATGGTTCTGTTTCTTGTTTCTTTTCTCTTGCATTCCAGCAATGATTTCTCAGATACTTGTAACTAATTGGTTAACTCTAATTTGATTTCAACATATTTAAAATGAAATTTAAATAACAACATATATGAGACTATTTCAAGTTTTCAAATACTTTACTGTAAATTAAAGTAAAAGTAACCATATTTAAATTGTTTACTTCTACTTCAAATTATTTCATTTATGTTTTTTACTTACAGGCATTCTAGTCTTGGTATCTATGTTAATATTCTTGACTTTCTCATATGTTCTGCCTACTTCTATTTATGTTCCATGTTGAATATGATATTTCCAATACACTTACATTCTTATACTTCAGTGTAAGCTCAAAGATTTCTCTCACTAGTTCCAGTAAGATTTCTGGTTTCCAACATTTTGAAGATTCACCAGGTAACTTTATTATGTTTTATCTGACTTATCCTGAAGAAAACCTATTTTTTAAGAAAAAAATTTTAATCATTGTATTTAAATATTATCAGTGCCTACTGCTGGTCATTTCAAAGTGGGACAATGCATGTATGAATATATAACACTTTGATTTTTGAGAAAGCTTTCATGACTAATACTAATTTGTTTTCACATTACTCTCTGCCCCATAGAAAACAAAACAAATGATTCAAATGGGCAGCAATATATGTATCTATGCTGTTAGAAACAAATGCGCTTCTGAGTACACCACAAAAAAGATGTGCAAACTTTTATAAAAGTACATGGGAAAAAGTGAAAACGTTTTAAAGAAATCCACAGTTTGTCATCTAAATGAACTTTTAAAATGAGGAGGGGAGCTGAGAATACATTACATTTGTAGGTAAATGCTTCAAGAGAAAGAATGTTTATGTAATACTGAATATGCTATGGACCACATTACCATTGCAGAGCATATGTTCTTTGTAAGTAAGAGAACATAAACCCACTATATAGATGAAAATGGCGAAATTTGGAATCACATGAGAGACATGTTCAACTTCTAAACTTTAACAGATTCATAATGAACCTGCAAATTGAGAATTAACACCTGTTCTGGATCATTATCACTAGTAAAGTGCCAAGTGGAGACTTGTTTGTATGTGGGAAATGTTGTTATTTTTCAAGGTCAGCTGCTAATATGTATCATTTACATGAATGTTTCTATTAGCAGCCTCATATCAAATTAGGAGGATAAAAGTAGAGTGTGAATTCCTTGCCAATTTTTTCTGCTAGGATAAACTGGAAGAATTCTTTATCTAGACTCATGGACCAAAAAATATTTATGCTATTCAGAACAAAGTGATGGCAGAAGAAAAAATGATGCCTATTTTTCAGCAATGTTCAGATGAAGTATATTGGGTATTGGCCATGAGCATAGCAAGAGTGTTGAAAAAGTTGTCTCAGCACTTTTCAGGAGGGATCAGAGAAAGTAAATGAGCCTTATTGATCATTTTTCTCCTTGTGGATCAGAATACTGCCAAGTACATTCTGAAGTTATAACATCCAGAATGAAATCCCATCATCAATTTACTTCAGAATATTAATGTGTCCCCCATACATACTGATGACATGTTTGAAAGATATAAAGGGATAAAAGTAGGAAACAAAAATAGGTCATAAAAGAAGGAAAGAGGAAAGAAGAGAGGTAGGTACCCTAGAGGTAGTGGTTTGTTTCTGTCTCTTTATGTAGTAAGCAACCAGAGGACCACTGCTCAGACAGGTACATATTGATTATTTTCAATGCCAAGTTTTCTGAGGATTAGGCTTCTATCAGAAGTAATTTAATTCTTCAGTTAATCCTAGTTGTTCATCTAGGATTTTTATAGTTTGGGGTTTTACATATGGGTATTTATTTTATTTATTTATTTTTATTATACTTTAACTTTTAGGGTACATGTGCACAATGTGCAGGTTTGTTACTTATGTATACATGTGCCATGTTGGTGTGCTGCACCCATTAACTCGTCATTTAACATTAGGTATATCTCCTAATGCTATCCCTCCCCCGTCCCCCCACTCCACAACAGGCCCTGGTGTGTGATGTTCCCCTTCCTGTGTCCAGGTGTTCTCATTGTTCAATTCCCACCTATGAGTGAGAACATGCGGTGTTTGGTTTTTTGTCCTTGTGATAGTTTGCTGAGAATGATGGTTTCCAGCTTCATCCATGTCCCTACAAAAGACATGAACTCATCATTTTTTATGGCTGCATAGTATTCCATGGTGTATATGTGCCACATTTTCTTAGTCCAGTCTATCATTGTTGGACATTTCGGTTGGTTACAAGTCTTTGCTATTGTGAATAGTGCCACAATCAACATACGTGTGCATGTGTCTTTATAGCAGCATGTTTTATAACTTTTGGGTATATACCCAGTAATGGGATGGCTGGGTCAAATGGTATTTGTAGTTCTAGATCCCTGAGGAATCGCCACACTGTCTTCCACAATGGTTGGAACTAGTTTACAGTCCCACCAACAGTGTAAAAGTGTTCCTATTTTGCCATATCCTCTCCAGCACCTGTTGTTTCCTGATTTTTAATGACCCCCATTCTAACTGGTGTGAGATGGTATCTCATTTTGGTGTTGATTTGCATTTCTCTGATGGCTAGTGATGATGAGCATTTTTTCATGTGTCTTTTGGCTGCATAAATGTCTTTTTTTGAGAAGTGTCTGTTCATATCCTTTGCCCACTTGTTGATGGGGTTGTTTGCTTTTTTCTTGTAAATTTGTTTGAGTTCTTTGTAGATTCTGGATATTAGCCCTTTGTCAAATGAGTAGAGTGCAAAAATTTTCTCCCATTCTGTAGGTTGCCTGTTCACTCTGATGGTAGTTTTTTTTGCTGTGCAGAAGCTCTTTAGTTTAATTAGATCCCATTTGTCAATTTTGGGTTTTGTTGCCATTGCTTTTGGTGTTTTAGACATGAAATCCTTGCCCATGCCTATGTCCTGAATGCTATTGCCTAGGTTTCCTTCCAGGGCTTTTATGATTTTAGGTCTGACATTTAAGTCTTTAATCCATCTTGAATTAATTTTTGTATAAGGTGTAAGGAAGGGATCCTGTTTCAGCTTTCTACATATGGCTAGCCAATTTTCCCAGCACCATTTATTGAATAGGGAATCCTTTCCCCATTTCTTGTTTTTGTCAGAATTGTCAAAGATCAGATGGTTGTAGATGTGTGGTATTATTTCTGAGGCCTCTGTTCTGTTCCATTGGTCTATATCTCTGTTTTGGTACCAGTACCATGCTGTTTTGGTTACTGTAGCCTTGTAGTATAGTTTGAATTCAGGTAGCGTGATGCTCCAGCTTTGTTCTTTTGGCTTAGCATTGTCTGGGCAATGAGGGCTCTTTTTTGGTCCCATATAAACTTTAAAGTAGTTTTTTCCAATTCTGTGAAGAAAGTCATTGTTAGCTTGAGGGGATGGCAGTGAATCTATAAATTACCTTGGGCAGTATGGCCATTTTCACGATATTGAGTCTTCCTATCCATGAGCATGGAATATTCTTCCATTTGTTTGTGTCCTCTTTTATTTTGTTGAGCAGTGGTTTGTAGTTCTCCTTGAAGAAGTCCTTCACATCCTTTGTAAGTTGGATTCCTATGTATTTTATTCTCTTTGAAGCAATTGTGAATGGAAGTTCACTCATGATTTGGCTTTCTGTTTGTCTGTTATTGGTGTATAAGAATGCTTTTGATTTTTGCACACTGATTTTGTATCCTGAGACTTTACTGCAGTTGCTTATCAGCTTAAGGAGATTTTGGGCTCAGAAGATGGGGTTTTCTAGATATACAATCATGTCACATGCTAACAGGGACAATTCAGCTTCCTCTTTTCCTAATTGAATACCCTTTATTTCCTTCTCCTGCCTGATTGCCCTGGCCAGAACTTCCAACACTATGTTGAATAGGAGTGGTGAGAGAGGGCATCCCTGTCTTGTGCCAGTTTTCAAAGGGAATGCTTCCAGTTTTTGCCCATTTAGTATGATATTGGCTGTGGGTTTGTCATAAATAGCTCTCATTGTTTTGAGATACATCCCATCAATACCTAATTTATTGACAGTTTTAGCATGAAGGGCTGTTGAATTTTGTCAAAGGCCCTTTCTGCATCTATTGAGATAATCATGTGGTTTTTGTCTTTGGTTCTGTTTATATGCTGGATTACATTTATTGATTTTCATATGTTGAACCAGCCTTGCATTTCAGGGATGAAGCCAACTTGATCATGGTGGATAAGCTTTTTGATGTGCTGCTGGATTCGGTTTGCCTGTATTTTATTGAGGATTTTTGCATCGATGTTCATCAGGGATATTGGTCGAAAATTCTCTTTTTTGGTTGTGTCTCTGCCAGGCTTTGGTATCAGGATGATGCTGGCCTCATAAAATGAGTTAGGGAGGATTCCCTCTTTTTCTATTGATTGGAATAGTTTCAGAAGGAATGGTACCATCTCCTCCTTGTACCTCTGGTAGAATTCGGCTGTGAATCCATCTGGTCGTGGACTTTTTTTGGTTGGTAAGCTATTAATTATTGCCTCAATTTCAGAGCCTGTTATTGATCTATTCAAAGATTCAACTTCTTCCTGGTTTAATCTTAGGAGGGTGTATGTGTCCAGGAATTTATCCTTTTCTTCTAGATTTTCTAGTTTATTTGCATAGAGGTGTTTATAGTATTCTCTGTTGGTAGTTTGTGTCTCTGTGGGATTGGTGGTGATATCCCCTCCATCATTTTTTTATTGTCTATTTGATTCTTCTCTCTTTTCTTCTTTATTAGTCTTTCTAGCGGTCTATCAATTTTGTTGATCTTTTCAGAAAAAACCAGCTCCTGGATTCATTGATTTTTTGAAGGGTTTTTTGTTTCTCTCTTTCCTTCAGTTCTGTTCTGATGTTAGTTATTTCTTGCCTTCTGCTAGGTTTTGAATGTGTTTGCTCTTGCTTCTGCAGTTCTTTTAATTGTGATGTTAGGGTGTCAATTTTAGATCTTTCCTGCTTTCTCTTGTGGGCATTTAGTGCTATAAATTTCCCTCTACACACTGCTTTAAATGTGTCCCAGAGATTCTGGTATGTTGTGTCTTTGTTCTTGTTGGTTTCAAAGAACATCTTTATTTCTGCCTCCATTTCGTTATGTACCCAGTAGTCATTCAGGAGCACGTTGTTCAGTTTCCATGTAGTTGAGTGGTTTTGAGTGAGTTTCTTGATCCTGAGTTCTAGTTTGATTGCACTGTGCTCTGAGAGACAGTTTGTTATACTTTCTATCCTTTTACATTTGCTGAGGAGTGCTTTACTTCCAACTATGTGGTCAATTTTGGAGTAAGTGTGGTGTGGTGCTGAGAAGAATGTATATTCTGTTGATTTGGGGTGGAGAGTTCTGTAGATGTCTATTAGGTCTGCTTGGTGCAAAGGTGAGTTCAATTCCTGGATATCCTTGTTAACTTTCTGTCTTGTGGATCTGCCTAATGTTGACAGTGTGGTGTTAAAGTCTCCCGTTATTATTGTGTGGGAGTCTAAGTCTCTTTGTAGGTCTCTAAGGACTTGCTTTATGAATCTAGGTGCTCCTGTATTGGGTGCATATATATTTAGGATAGTTAGCTCTTCTTGTTGAATTGATCCCTTTACCATTATGTAATGGCCTTCTTTGTCTCTTTTGATCTTTGTTTGGTTTAAAGTCTGTTTTATCAGAGACTAGGATTGCAACCCCTGCCTTTTTTTGTTTTTCATTTGCTTGGAAGATCTTCCTCCATCCCTTTATTTTGAGCCTATGTGTGTCTCTGCATGTGAGATGGGTTTCCTGAATACAGCGCACTGATGGGTCTTGACTCTTTATCCAATTTGCCAGTCTGTGTGTTTTAATTGGAGAATTTAGCCCATTTACATTTAAGGTTAATATTGTTATGTGTGAATTTGATCCTGTCATTATGATGTTAGCTGGTTATTTTGCTTGTTAGTTGATGCAGTTTCTTCCTAGCCTTGATGGTCTTTACAATTTGGCATGTCTTTGCAGTGGACGGTACCAGTTGTTCCTTTCCATGTTCAGTGCTTGCTTCAGGAGCTCTTGTAGGACAGGCCTGGTGGTGACAAAATCTCCCAACATTTGCTTCTCTGTAAAGTATTTTATTTCTCCTTCATTTATGAAGCTTAGTTTGGCTGGATATGAAATTCTGGGTTGAAAATTCTTTTCTTTAAGAATGTTGAATATTGGTCCCCACTCTCTTCTGGCTTGTAGAGTTTCTGCCGAGAGATCAACTGTTAGTCTGATGGGCTTCCCTTTGTGGGTAACCCGACCTTTCTCTCTGACTGCCCTTAACATTTTTTCCTTCATTTCAACTTTGGTGAATCTGACAATTATGTGTCTTGGAGTTACTCTTCTCAAGGAGTATCTTTGTGGCATTCTCTGTATTTCCTGAATTTGAATGTTGGCCTGCCTTGCTAGATTGGGGAAGTTCTCCTGGATAATATCCTGCAGAGTGTTTTCCAACTTGGTTCCATTCTCCCCGTCACTTTCAGATATACCAATCAGACATAGATTTGGTCTTCTCACATAGTCCCATATTTCTTGGAGGCTTTGTTCATTTCTTTTTATTCTTTTTTCTCTAAACTTCTCTTCTCACTTCATTTCATTCATTTGATCCTCCATCACTGATACCCTTTCTTCCAGTTGATTGAATCAGCTACTGAAGCTTGTGCATGCATCACGTAGTTCTCATGCCATGATTTTCAGCTCCATCAGGCCCTTTAAGGACTTCTCTGCATTGGTTATTCTAGTTATCCATTCGTCTAATTTTTTTTCAAGGTTTTTAACTTCTTTGCCATGGGTTTGAAGTTCCTCCTTTAGCTCGGAGTAGTTTGATCTTCTGAAGCCTTCTTCTCTCAACTTGTCAAAGTCAGTCTCCGTCCAGCTTTGCTCCGTTGCTGGTGAGGAGCTGCGCTCCTTTGGAGGAGGAGAAGTGCTCTGATTTTTAGAATTTTCAGTTTTTCTGCTCTGTTTTTTCCCCAGCTTTGTGGTTTTATCTACCTTTGGTCTTTGATGATGGTGACATACAGATGGGGTTTTGGTGTTGTTGTCCTTTCTGTTTGTTAGTTTTCCTTCTAACAGTCAGGACCCTCAGCTGCAGGTCTGTTGGAGTTTGCCAGAGGCCCACTTCAGATCCTGTTTGCCTGGGTATCAGCAGCAGAGGCTGCAGATCAGCGAATAGTGGTGAACAGCAAATGTTGCTGTTGATCATTTCTCTGGAAGTTTTTCCTCGGAGGGGTACTCGGCCGTGTGAGGTGTCAGTCTGCCCCTACTGGGGGGTGCCTCCGAGTTAGGCTACTCGGGGGTCAGGGACACACTTGAGGAGGCAGTCTGTCCGTTCTCAGATCTCACGCTGTGTGCTGGGAGAACCACTACTCTCTTTAAACCTGTCAGACAGGGACATTTAAGTCTGCAGAGGTTTCTGCTGCCTTTTGTTTGGCTATGCCCTGCCTCCAGAGGTGGAGTCTACAGAGGCAGGCAGGTCTCCTTGAGCTGCAGTGGGCTCCACTCAATTCGAGCTTCCTGGCCGCTTTGTTTACCTGTTCAAGCCTCAGCAATGGTGGGCACCCCTCCCCCAGCCTCGCTGCCACCTTGCAGTTTGATCTCAGACTGCTGTGCTAGCAATGAGCGAGGCTCTGTGGGCATAGGACCCTCCAAGCCGGGTGCAGGATATAATCTCCTGGTGTGCCATTTGCTAAAACCGTTGGAAAAGCTCAGTATTAGTGTGGGAGTGACCCGATTTTCCAGGTGCCATCTGTCACCCATTTCCTTGGCTAGGAAAGGGAATTCCCTGACCCCTTGCACTTCCTGGGTGAGGTGATGCCTCGCCCTGCTTCGGCTCATGCTTGGTGCACTGCACCCACTGTCCTGCACCCACTGTCTGACACTCCCCAGTGAGATGAACCCAGTACCTCAGTTGGTAATGCAGAAATCATCTTTCTTCTGTGTTGCTCATGCTGGGAGCTGTAGACTGGAGCTGTTTCTATCCGGCCATCTTGGAACTGCCTCTACATTTGGGTTTTTAATATACTTTGATTTAATTTTTGTATATGGTGAGAGATAGGAGTCTAATTGTATTCCTCTGAAATCATGTTCTTTGAGGCAACATGGATGGATCTGGAGGTCATTATCCTAAATGAGCTAACTCAGAAACAGAAAATCCAATATCAGGTGTTCTCACTTATAAGTGGGAGCACAACAGGTACACATGGACATAAAGAGGGAAGAATAGACTGTGGAGATTCCAAAAAGGGGAAGGGTGGTGGCGGGGGATGAAGGTTGAAAAATTATCTACTGCATACAATGTTCAATTTGGGTGATGGGTGCACTAGAAGCCCAAACCCCACCATTATACACGTAATAACCATGTAATAAACAAGCACATGTACCCCCTGAATCTAAAATTTAAAAACACTACAAATAATTTGAGAGATTCATGTAGGTATTAATAAATAAAATGCATATTGCTAACGTTCCAATGTTGCATATTAAATAACAATATCATTGCATTTATTAAAGCAATTTTCATTTGCAATTTTTCAATGTTTAATCATATCTCTGCTGTTTCTAGATTCATTGATGAAATCAATAGAGATAGCTCTGCTGTAAAAAAATTGTCAGTTAAAGAATCTTGTACATTTTTACAGTCCTTTAGGGATTAAATCCTTTGTTTCAATCTTAACTTTGTTAAAAGTTTTATTAACTTCAAGGTAGCCGTATTCGTGATCTTCAACATTATCTATTCCAGTTTGGAAGCACAGCCTGAATAAAACATATTTACTAGAGAAAACTTAATGATTTTTGATGTGAAAAACACTCTGATTGTAGCTGTAGAAATAAGGTCCTTTAGTGATAATCAAAACAGTCTATGGATAAACATTTATTGTGTCAAATTTATTATTTCAAACCTTTTAAAAATATGTACCTTATACAAGGCAATTTGATAAACATTTTGAATGATGTGGACATATAAAATATGATCACTGATCTTAAAGGGGTAAAGTCTCATAGAGGAAATGATACATATATCTGAGCGATGACAGTTCAAGGTTAAAAGCTTTAAGGAACATGAGAAGCAGAATGATAAATAGGTATGGGAATTTAGAGAAGATATGAAGTTTACGGGAGGGCCCATGGGAAGAAAAAAATTTAGCTTCTGGAAATGATGGGTAAGCAAGCTTTTAAAATAATATTTCTTTAGGAACACAAAGCACACACTAAAGTAAAATGAGCAAAACGAGGGTAAAGGAGAACTTAGCAGAAAATAATTAAAGCCAGAAAGAAGGGGCTGGTTATTATGAGTGATCACACTGCCCGGCACCTTTCCCTCTGGCAAATCCAGAATCTCCTTTTCTGGTCTCTACTTGCTTTCCTGCTGCATTCTTCTTCTCTTCTTCTTTGAGAAGCAATTGTCAACCCCCTTCTTCAAAACCGCCTCTCTAAATAAGAAGTATGATTGAAATAATCCAGCCTGCCAACCCATATTGGTTGAATATGAAAATATATTTTGCGTTGCTGAAAACGTCTTTGTTTCTTATGAGACCTTTAATTTAGGGTTTAAAAATACCAGTAAGGTTCAACTATAATATGTTATAGTTGAAGTAATTGGCCACGTGTTTTGACTTTCTTTGTCAAAATTAACCAACTCAGAAGCTTCAGAGTGGAATCAAATATCGGTTTGGGAAGACAGAGGTGTGTGTGTGTGAGAGAGAGAGAGAGAGGAAAAGAGAGGAAGAGAAATAGATAGAAAAGAGGCATGCCTCCTTCTTGTTCTATTATTTTTCACACATTTGCTTATTCAAAGCCTTTGCATTTATTGCAATTTTAATTTCATGTGTTTATTGACTTTTTTTCTGCTGGGCTTTCTGATTAAATAGTAAGTTTGCTTATTAACCATTTATCATCAGAACACGACATAGTACCAGACACATAGGAGTTCATTAATTACTTGCTAAAAAAAAGATCTCCAATTAGGTCCTGTAATGTTTTTGATGGTTTACCTTGAGATTCAGAGGGTACTACTGCCAGAATATATAAAGAAAGAATTACTATTTGTTAAAAATCCACCATGTATCTCTACTGTATATTTTTACACTTATGTAATCTTCCTAAAAACATGTTAAGGATAAAATATGATATATCAATTTATCATTTTTCCCCAATGCATAAGTGGAGCTCAGAGAACCAGAAAAATGTTTCTGAATTATACCATGAATAAAAGGAGCCACAATTCTTGGATTTCAAGCTCACATCACACTTGGTAAAAGTCCATTTTATTCTGTTGATTTCCAGAGATTAGGCAAATCACGAGGTAGATAAATGTGATTTCAGTAGATCAAAAAGATGTGAAGAGATGTGAAGTTAATACCACTGTAATATTTGTATATTAGGCTGGATATATAAAATTTTCATTTTTGTTTTTGTAAAAACTTGTGAATATCACTGCTTTCTGTTAATTCAACTTAGTATTTTATTACAGTCCTAGAATCCTTTTTATTATCATATACTTCTTCCAAATGCTATGGTCTAAGAGGAGAGCGTGATGATGAGTTCTAAGCTGTGGCTGTGCTAACGACTAACTGAACTAAAGTGGAAAGGATCACTAGAGTCATGGGTGTCAAGGCATTGCTAGGTAGCACATTGTGAGGCTCAATAATCTGGATATTAATACCTCTAAGAATACTAGCAAGCCACTTATAACGAGATAGCTTTAACTGAGGGTTTGCAGTCAAGAAAGTTAAGAAAGAAGGTACTCTCTATTTCAGATGTGTGCATTTAAATATAATAATGTTTATATACACATACATACACACATATACATATATAACAACTGTCTAAAACTCTACCATTCAAGCCTTCAACTATTTATTAGTTATAAATCACCATATATTTTTCTAATGCTAGGTAACATCAGCTGTGATAGAAAGTTGGGGTGATTGCACATTTTTATTTTTTAAAAATTTGTTAGGTTGACAACATTTGAAATTTGTGTGAAAAGGATTTTGTACTATATTTAAATGACTTTTGTAAATAGTCATCCCCTATCTACATGGCACTGCTAATTGTAGCTAAATACAGAAAAAAAATACATATGCTATTAAGGCAAATTTCATTTAAAAGAGATGCATTGTATCCAATTGCGGGTATTAATAATTTCTGTCATTTATTATCATTGGTTCTCTTTCACTCACATCTACAAAGTCTCAACAGAACATTGTCATTAAATTACAAAACATTCTGATTCATTTGTTGGATGAGTTTGAAGTGAAACATAAGTATTGGTAAATTAGAAATTAAGCATTATAACTATCATATTTGGTATTTCCCCACAAGGAATTTTTTTCTGGAGGGGAGGGAAATAATTTTAGACTTACAGAAAAATTTCAAAAATGGTTCAGCATTCCTGTACATCCTTCATTCAGTTTTCCCCATTATTTGCACATTACACTAATGTGGTACAAACTAAGTTTTGTCAACGCTAATAACCAATATTGGTAATGATTATTTAACTATACTACATACTTTATTTATATTTCACCGGACTTTCCATTAATATCCTCTTTCTGTTCCATGATCCAACTGAGGTTACTACATTGCATTTAGTAAGCATGTCTTCCCAGGCTACCCTGGTCTGTGATGGTTTCTGTTTTTCCTTGTTTTTCAGGACACTGACAATCGCAACTAGTGCTGTCAAAGTATCCTGGAGAATGTCCTCCATTCTAGATTTGTCTAATAGTTTTCTCATGATTAGTCTGGGGTTATAGGTTTGTAGAAAAAAAGTACCAAAGAGCTGAAGCACTCTTCTCATCATATCATATCAGGATGGGCATGATATCCACATGACATTACTGATTAATGTTAGTTTTTGCCAGTTTTCTCCACTGTAATGCTACTTTTCTTTTCTTTCTCAACTTGATTCACTGGAAATAAATCTTTTGTTTAATCCGTCTTCAAGAAGAAAGGGGTTTAAGACTTGTCATCATTGCATACTTATTTCTAACAAGACTACCCTACATCTGTCCTGGAAAATATTCAGATCCACCCTCATTTCAGTATCCTGTGTATATACACACATAAAAAATGTATATTATTATACACAAACACACAATACACAACACCTCCATGTGATTCACAATTTGGGCATAATTGGCATATGGAATAATTGACATAGTCCAGGTAGAGTCATTTCTATTGACTCTTAAGACTGCCACGGGAAAATATGTATATTTATATAAATCCTTCATGGAGTATCTGAATCTCTCAATAGATAATTTTGAGTCTACCACAAAGCCCAAGCATATTGCCCAGAAAAAAACACAGAAGCTTTGTTTAGAAATATAGGTCTCCTTCAGATTTTGGCAGTGCAATCAACAAAAAAGCAGTTCACCTCCTGTGAGAAACGTTGAGACCAAGGATAATTTCATGAATAAAATCTTTTCTTGAAACCCCTTTCCCAGTCTGAGCCGAGTAAGGCCATCTTCTCCATATCCCTAACATCTCGTGCAGCACCCTCCATGTTCTTCTGGAATCACTGGTGTTTTATTTCACCAAGTGGACTCTGAGCTCCTAGAAGGAAGTGATGTGGTTTTGTTTATGTCTCCATGCTTAGCTCTTGACACATAGCAAATACTGAGTTGTATTTATATTCATTGAATAAATAAACCAATATCCTATGAAATTTCCATTAGAAAAATTTAAGACTCTACACAAAAATAGTGTTTACATTTAGAATCAATATCTTTAAATTCATTATACAATTTTATCACTCTAAAAGACAGTTAATAAGTTTACTATAGCAACACATCTGATTTTGATCACTGCTGCCTAGGATATTTTTTTTAACTCTCTGGCAGTGAACATCGTCTACTCTTCATGTTCCACTGACTTCTTCTAAACTTGAAGTCTAGATTGCAGCCCTCAGCCTGTACTGATTTTAGTTATGCTCCATTATCTGAAAATTAATGCACAGCAACTGTGTTGGGCTCAATGAATCTACCTACTTTGCAGTGTTCCTCTCCAGGAATCTCATTACCTCCCTGTCTCTGTGAAGTCAGTAGCTGCAGGAAGCTTCTGCTGCAGATCAAAGTTCTTTCAAGCCTGTTATTCTGTCTATGGTTGCTCCTGCCTTGAAGACACATTATTCTCTTCTTCATTTGTTTTCCACACACAGAAAATGCTGATATTAAATATTGAATAAAGGGAGTTTACATTATATTTTCCTCAAATTTCCCTTTATTAGAGTGGTGCTAATAATAAATATATATTTTGTGAAATAAAATACAGTGCTAAATAATAGACTTACAATAGTTCATTTAGATGCAAAATATAAGGGGACATATAGATTTTAAATTTCATATACTCCATTTCACAACTAATGGTTGACTACCTTTATAAGATTCCAGATAAAGTAATTTTCTACTATTTAGGTTCTCAAAAATGAGAACTGGAGGTTGCCCTCAGAGCAGGGTGGCCAAGTAGAAACCTTTACCAATCATCTTCCCTACAAGAACACCAAAATGAACAACTATCCACACCAAAAAAAAAAAAAAAAAAATCTTCATAAGAACCAGAAAATCAGAGGAGTGATCACAGTAACTGGTTTTAACTTCATATCACCAAAAGAGGCACTGAGGAGGGGAAGAAAGACAATATTGAATTGCTGATGCCACCACTCCCTTAATCCCCTGGCAGCAGCCACATATCATACAGACAGAATCTGTGCACTTGAGGGAGGGAGAGAGCAGTGATAGTGGGGCCTTGCACTGAAACTCAGTGCTGTGCTATCATAATGGAAAGCAACACTAGGCAAAACTCAGCCAATGTGCACAGAGGGAGCAACTAGACTAGCCCTAGCCAGAGAGGAATTATCCACCACAGTGGTTGGAACCTGAGCTCCAGCAAGCCTTGCCACCATTAGGCCAAAGTGCTCCAAGGTCCTAAACAAACTTGAAAGCCAGTCTAGGCTGCAAGGACTTCAATTCTGGGGCAAGTCCTGGTGTTGTGCTAGGGTCAGAGGCAGCGACCTGAGGGACACACAAACCAGTGGGACACCAGGGGTACTTGTATCACCCCTCCCGCAACCCCAAGCAGCACAGCTTGCAGCTCCAGGAAAGACTCCTTACTTCCACTTGAGAAAAGGAGAGGGAAAAGAGGACTTTGACACACAACTTGGATATTAGCTCAGCCACAGTAGGATAGAGTACCAGGCAGGGGTTTCCATTCCGGGCCCTAGCTTCCAGATTACATTTCTAAACACACCCTGAGCTGGAAGGGAACCTGCTGCCTTGAAGGGAAGGACTCAGTCTGGACAGGATTCATCATGGGCTGGCTAAAGAGTCCTTGGGTCCTGAATAATTAGCAGCATTACCCAGGCAGTACTTGCCGTGGGCATTGAATGAGACTCAGAGCTGTGCTGGCTTTCAGGTGTGACCCAGCACAGTCCCAGCTGTGATGGCTAAAATGAAGAATTCCTCTGTTTGGGAAAAAGATAAGAAAGAGTAAAGGGGACTTTGTCTTGCATCTTAGTTACCAGTTTGGCCACAGTGGGGTAAGTAGGGTACTACGTGTGTTTTTGGGGTCCCTGATTCCAGGCCTTGGCTCTTGGACAGCATTTTTGGACTTGCTCTGAGCCAGAGAAGAGCCTGCCATCCTGAAAGGAGAGTTTCAGGCCTGGTAACATTCACCACAAGCTGATTGAATTGCCCTTGGGCCTTAAATGAACCTCAGTAGTAGCCAGACAGTACTCACTGCAGGCCTGGGGTGGTGGTGTCTGTGGGTAGTGACTCTTCTGCTTGTGCAAATGGGAGGAAGAGTGGGAGGACTTTGCCTTGTGATTTGGATGTCAGCTCAGCTGCAGTGGAATAGAGCACCAGGTAGACTCTCCTAAGGTACCTGACTCCAGGCCCGGGCTCACAGATGGCAGCTGTGGACTCACTTGGGATCAGGGAGAAATCACTGCCCTGAAAGAAAGGGCACAAGCCAAGCTGGCTTTGCCAGCTGTTGACTGTAGAGCCCTAGGGCCTTGAGAAAACATAGGCAGTAGCCAGGCAGTAGTTACCACAAGCTCTGAGTGAGATCCAGTGCTGTGCTGGCTTCAGGACTGACCTAGTGCAGTCCCAGTTGTAGCGGCCACAGGGGTGCTTGTGTCACCCCTTCCCCAGCTCGTTACCTCAGCAGAATCCATTTGTTTGGGAGAAATAAGGAAGAGAACAAGAGTACGTCTAATGATCTGGAGAATTCTTCCAGATTTTATACAAGACCACCAAGGTTGTGCCTCTACAAGTCTGTAAGAACCAAAGCATTACTGGATTTTGGATGACCCCCTAATGCAGATACAACTACAGTGAACAAATACTTAGATCATAAAATCTGAGTCCCTTTGACTACTACCTGGAAAGCCTTATCAAAAAGGATGGGTACAAATAAGCCCAGACTTCAAAGACTTCAATAAATGCCCAGACGCTGACTAATATCCACAACCATCAAGATCATTTAGGAAAACATGACATCACCATGTAAACTAAATAAGGCACCAGTGACCAATCATAAAGAGGCAGAGGTATGTGACCTTTCAGAGAGAGAATGTAAAATAGCCGTTTTAAGGAAACTCAAAGAAATTTAAGCTAACACAGAGAAGAAATTCAGTATCCTATCAGATAAATTTGACGAAGAGATTGAAATAATTAGAAAGAATCAAGCAGAATTTCTAGAGTTGACAAATGCAATTGACATACCAAAGAATTCATTAGAGTCTCTTTACAGCAGAATTGACTGGGCAGAAGAAAGAATTAGTGAGACAGACAGAAAGAATTGAAGACAGACTGCTTGAAAATACACAGTCAGGGGAGATAAAATTCAAAAGACTGAAAAAGAATGAAGCACACCCATGATATCTAGAAAACAGCCTCAAAAGGGAAAATCCGAGAGTTATTAGCCTTAAAGAAGAGACAGAGATGAGTTAAAAAGTTTAATTTAAAGGGATAATAAAAGAGAACTTCCCAAACCTAGAGAAAGATATGAATATTCAAATATAAGAAGGTTATAGAACAAAAAGCAGATTGAACTCAAATAAGACAACCTCAAGACATTTAATAATAAAAATTCCAAAAGTAAGGGTAAAGAAAGGATACTAAAACAACAATAAACAAGAAACAATTAATGTATAGTGGAGTTCTAATACATGTGACAACAGATTTCTCAGTGGAAACATTACAGGCCAGGAGAGAGTGACATGACATATTTAAAGTGTTAAAGGAAAAAAAAAAAAAAGCTTTTACCCTAGAATAATATATCTGGTAAAAATATCTTTCAAACAGGAAGGAGAAATAAAGACTTTCCCAAGCAAACAAAAGCTGGGGGATTTCATCAGCACCAGACCTGTCCTACAAGAAATGCTAAAGGGAGTTCATCAATCTGAAAGAAAAGAACATTAATGAGCAATAAGAAATCATCTGAAAGTACAAAACTCATTGGTAATAGTAAATGCACAGAGAAACACAGAAAATTATAATATTGCAATTGTGACATGTACACTACTAATGTCATGAGTAGAAAGATTAAAGATGAACCAATCAAAAATAATGACTAAAACAACGTTTCAAGACACACACAGTAATAGGAATGAATAGAAACTATAGTAATAAGATATGAATAGAAACAACAAACTTTAAGAAGTGGGGGAAAAAAAAGTTTGAATTATATTTTTCTTTGCTTTTCTTGTGGTATGTTTATGCAAGCAGTGTCAAGTTGTCATCAGTTTAAAATAATAGTTTGTAAGATATTATTTACAAGTCTCATGATAACCTCAAATCAAAAAACATATAAGAAATATACAAAAAATAAAAAGCAAGAACTTAAAACATACCACAACAGAAAATCACCTTCATTAAAAATAGGGCAGGGAAGAAGGATAGAAGAAAGACCACAAAACAACTAGAAAACAAATAACAATATGGCAGGAGTAAATCATTACTTATTAGTAATAACATTGATTGTAAATAGACTAAACTTTCCATTCAAAAGACAGAGTGGCTGGATAGATTTAAAAAAAATAAAACAAGACTCAGGCATCTATTGCTGACAAGAAACACACATCACCTATAAAGACACACATAGACTGAAAATAAAAGAATGGAAAAAGATATTCCATGCCAATGGAAACCAAAAAAAGAGCAGAAGTAGCTATCCTTATGTCAGACAAAATAGATTTCAAGACACACACTATAAAAAGAAACAAAGAAGGTCATTATATAATGACAAAAGGGTCAATTCAGCAACATGATAAAACAACAGTAAATATATATGCACCTAACACTGGAGCATACATATGTAAAGCAAATATTATTACAGCTAAAGAGAGATACAGACCTTAATACAGTAATAGCTGGAGAGTTCAACATCACACTTTTAGCATTGGACAGATCATCCAGACAGAAATTTAACAAAGAAACGTTGGACTTAATATGCACTATAGACCAAAAGGACCTAGTAGATATTTATAGAACATTTCATCCAATGGCTGCAGAATACACATTCTTTTCCTAAGCACATGGATCAGTCTCAAGGATAGATCATATGTTAGGCCACAAAACAAGTCTTACAACATTCAAAAAATTGAAATTATATTAAGTATCTTCTCTAACCACAATGGAATAAAACTAGAAATCAATAACAGGAGGAATTTTAGAAAGTGTACGCACATGAAAATTAAACAATTTTAATTTCCTGAATGATCAGTGGGTCAATGAAGAAATTAAGAAATTAAAACTTTTTTTGAAACAAATGATAATGGAAACACAACACCAAAACCCATGGGATACAGCAAAATAGTGCTAAAGGAGAAGTTCATAGCTATAAGTGCCTATGTCAACAAAGTAGAAAAAGTTCAAATAACCTAAGAATGCATCATAAATAACTAGAAAAGCAAGAACAATTCAAACCCAGCATTAGTAGAAATAAAGAAATACTAAGATTAGTGAATAAATAAATGAAATTAAAATAAATAAAACAATATAAAAATCAATGAAATGAAAAGTTGGTTTTTTTTTTTAAAGTAAAAATTGTAAAGTAAACCAGACTAAGAAAACAGGAGAAAAAACCCCAAAAATAAAGTAGGAGATGTAACAGGAAACATTGCAATCAATACTGCAGAAATTCAAAGGCTCATTAGAGGCTACTATGAGCAAGTATATGCCAATAAATTGGATAACCAAGAAGAAATGGATAAATTCCTAGAAACATACAACCTACCAAGATTGAACTATGAAGAAATCCAACTCCCAAATATACCAATAACAAGTAACAAAATCGAAGTTGTAATAAAAAAAATCTCATAGCAAAGAAAAGCCTGGGACCTAAATTACCAAACATTTAAAGAACTAACACCAATCCTATTCAAACTATTCCAAAAAATAGATAAGGAGGGAATAGTTCCAAACTCATTCCGCAAGGCTAACATTTCCCTTTTACCAATACTAGACAAAGACACATCAAAAGAGAAAATGACAAGCCAGTATTCCTGATGAACATTGATGCAAAAATCCTCAAGAAAATACTGGCAATCTGAGCTCAACAACACATTAAAAATGTCGTTCATCTTGACCACGTGGGATTTATCACAGGGATGTGAGGATGTTCAACATGTACAAATCAATCATTGTGATACATCATATCAACAAAATAATGAACAAAAACCAAATGATCATTTCAATTGATGCTGAAAACCCATTTGATAAAGTTCATCATCTTTTCATAATAAAAACCCTCCCAAAACTGTATATAGAAGGAAGATATCTCAGCACAATAAAAGCTGTACATGACGGATAGTACCATAGTGAATGGGGAAAAACTGAAAGCTTTTCCTTTAAGTTCTGGAACCCAACAATGATGCCCACTTTCACCACTGTTTCTGAACAAAGAACTGAAAGTCTTCGCTAGAGCAATCAGACAAGAGAAAGAAATAAGGGCATCCAAATTAGAAAGGATGAAGTCAAATTATCCTTGTTTGCATATTATGCAATCTTAAATTTGGAAAAACCTAACGATACCACCAAAAAACTATTAGAATTCATGAATAAATTCAGTAATGTTGCAGGATAAGAAAAATCAACACACAAAAATTAGTAGCATTTCTATACACCAATGGCGAAAAATGTAAAAGACAAATCAAGAAAGTGACATCATTCACAAACTTTCAAACTATAGATACAAATATAATTAAATGACTATAAATTAACTTATCAAAGAAGGAAAGATCTCTACAATGAAAACCATATAACATTGATGAAAGAAATTGAAGAGGACACACACACACACACACACACACACACACAAGATATTCCATGGTCATGGATTGTAAGTATCAATATTGTTAAAATGTCTATACTACTTAGAGCAATCTACATATCCAATGTAACCTATTTTAAAATACCAATGATATTCTTCCAGAAATAGAAAAAAAATGCTAAAATTTATATAGATCCACAGAAGACCCACAATAGCCAAAGCTAAACTGAGTAAAAAGAACAAAGCTGAAGGAATTACATTAACTGACTTCAAATAATACTAGAGCTATTGTAACCAAAACAGGATGATACTGGTATAAAAGAAGACACAGACCAATGAAACACAATGGAGAACTCAGAAACAAATCCATACGCCTACATAAACTAATTTTTGACAAAGGTGCCAAGAGCATACATTGGGGAAAGGACAGACTCCAATACATAGTGCTGGGAAAACTGGATATCCATAAGTAGATGAATGAAACTAAACCCTCTATCTTTCACTATATACAAAAATCAAGTCAAAATGGATTAAAGACTTAAATCTAAGACCTCAAATTATGAAACTGCTAAAAGAAAACTCTGGGGAAACTTTCCATGGCATTGGACTGGGGAAAGATTTCTTGAGTAACACCCTACAAGCACAAACAACCAAGGCAAAAATAGACAAATGAAATCACATTAAGTTAAAAAGCTTCTGCACAGAAAAAAAAAGTGAAGAAACAACCCATAGAAAATATTTGCAAACTATCCATTTGACAAGGGATTAATAACATGAATATATAAGGATCCCAAACAACTCTATAGGAAAAAAAAATCTAATCCAATTAGAATTGGGCAATAAATCTGAATAGACACTTCCTAAAAGAAGACACAAATGACAAACAGGTGTATGAAAAAATGCTCAATATCATTGATCATCAGAGAAATGCAAATCAAAACTACAATGAGATATCTCATCTCAGTTAAAATGGCTTTTCTTTCCCCAAAAAACAGGCAATAGCAAATGCTTGAGGAGGTGTGGAGAAAAGGGAACTCTTGAATATTGTTTGTGGGAATATAAGTTAGTACAACCCCTATGGAGAACAGTTTGGAGGTTCCTCAGAACACTAAAAATAGAACTTTTATATGAGCCAGCAATCCCACTGCTAAGCATATACACAAAAGAAAGATAATCAGTATATTGAAGAGATACTCGCACTCCCATGTTTATTGCAGCACTATTCCCAATAGTCAAGATTTGGAGGCAACCTAAGTTTTCTTCAACAGGTGAATGGATAAAGAAAATGTGGCACTTATACATAATGGAGTACTATTCAGCCATAAAAAGAATGAGATGCTGTTATCTGCAACAACATGGACAAATCTGGAGGTCACTATGTTAAATAAAATAAGCCAGGCACAGAAAGACAAGCTTCACATGTTCTCACTTATTTGTGGGAGCTAAAAATTAAAACACTTGAATTCTTGGAGATATAGCGTAGAACAATGGGTACCAGAGGCTGCGAAGGGTAGTGAAGCAGGGGAAATGGGGATGGTTGATGGGTACAAAAATATAATTAGATAGAATGAATAAGATCTAGTATTTTGTCCCACAACAGGTGATTACAGCCAACAATGATTTACTGTACATTTCAAAATAATGAAAAGACTGTAACTGAGCTGGGCACTGTGGCTCATTCCTGTAATCCAGCACTTTGGGAAGCTGAGGCTGGAGAATCACTTGAGGTAAGGAGTTTGAGACCAGGCTGGCCAACGTGGTGAAACCCCGTCTCTACTAAAAATACAAAAAGCCGATTGTGGTGGTACATGCCTGTAGTTGCAGCTATTTGAGAGGCTGAGGCTGAAGGATCGCTTGAACCTAGGAGACGGAGGTTACAGTGAGCCGAGTTTGCACCACTGCACTTCAGCCTGGGTGACAGAACAAGACTCCATCTCAAAAAAAAAAAAAAAAAAGTACAACTGGATTGTTTATAGCATGAAGAAAGGATAAGTGCTTGAGATGATGGAATTATGCACACTCCACTTACTCTTATGTGATTATTACGCATTGTATGCCTGTATCAAAACACTCACGTACTCCATCAATATATCTATGTATCCATACGAGTTAAAAATTTAAAAAAATGTTTTAAGAGAACTGTTTCCATGTTCAAAACATGTGCTTAATTCTAAGAATTCTAAGAGGTGAGGTTCCTATTTTATGAGAGAAGAATTCAATGAACACAATGTGTACATGCACCTCCTAAGTGCATGGAGATATAACGAAAATATAATAGATGTCATTAATATTAATATATAATTAGTTGGAACTGCTTTTTTTCCCAAAAAAATGAGCCAGCTAGAGCTATTGTAATCCTAGATTTTTAAGATAACTAAATATTTTAGATTTCAAGAGCAGGGTGCTGCTGAACTATGAAAGGCCAGAAGCAGAGCCTGATAATTGTCAGGAGCCTGGGATTCCAGAGAGCCAAAAGGCTGTGTCATTCTTCACTCTCTGAAAAGCTGCTTTCTCTGCTATTTAGTTTACACAGGGAATGAAAGGTAGAAAGCACACAGTTTCCTGGCTTACATTACCAATGACCTGCATGGTTTGTGTCAGACATCCTCTCTGTTCCAATCAACCATGTCCAAGAGGAGGGGCTACTTAGCACAAATGTAGGTAATTGAAATAAACCATTGTGTGTGAGAGAAGAAATTAAGGGCATTATTTTTAGCTGGGCATATACTCTGTGAAATGATTACTACAATGTTGAAATTATAACGGCTCTTGATGCTTCTGGCTGGATGGAACGTTGGCCCTTACAAAGTTCTTCTTTCCAAGATAATTTAGGAAGCCCTCCAGGAGTGTCTTATCCCCGTCCATGAAAAAAATTATGGTTCCCCTGCTTTTTTGAAGTCAGCCAAACTAGAACTATGTGGCCACTGGCTTCCATAGCTCCATAGAGGTGCCAACTGCAACAAAAGGCCATTGCTTCAGCAGCTCTCTGCTGTTAACCATCACAGACACAACTTTAATCCTGATTAAGTTGAAGTTATCCCATCATCATTGATATTAGCATTAGCCAAGCAGTGATATGGCAACCCCTGGTCCTAGTGCCATTACAAGGTAATGCTCTGAATCAGACCAAGGTGTTTCCACTGGTACAGATCTCCAAGGCCCAGATCTCTGCTTATTCATCGTGGCTACTAATACTCTTATGAAATGCAAAAAAGAATTTTCCCTCCATATCTTCTTTTTCTCCTTGGAGAAGGGTACAGCAATGGGTTCAGTGAAAGACATTTTCATGTTTACCTATACAGTCTTTTCTTTTTATCTCCTTAGTGTGCCATTATCATTCCAGAAACATCACATCTCACAACATGAAAAATGAAATATTCCATAATTCCAAAAGCTACATGGATTCACACTGTTGTGTATATTCCCTGTCCACTTCTTTTTCTGTGTTCTAATATTTTTATAAATATTGAATGATACCATGAATATGAAAGTGCTTGAAATCTATTGTGTTACATAATCATAAATATTTTTATGAGAAATTTCCATCAAGACTGTATCCTCTGTGTCCATACCCAATAATTCAATTTTATTTTCTGATGTTAGATTAAAATTTGTCTCCTCCCTACTTTGTTGGGAGGCTACTCATCAAACTTTCCTCTGAAAAGTCTATGGTAATCCTAAGACAGGGAAGGCTCTGGGGAGTAGGAGCTTCCACATTCCTAGAAGCTAGAGAGAATATTTACATTTAGATCTTACTCTTTTCTTCCATATCTCTCCATTTGTTTCTATATCTATGAATTTATTGCTAATAAAGTAAGTCATAATAATTTTCTCATAATTTATTTCTGTGAACTGAAGATAGGAAACTCCTAATTTAGAAATTTACAACCATCACACATGCAGATACCAATAATAAAATCTGAAAAAGGACAAAAAAGGGAAAACAAAAAATCTAATAATACAAATATGTTCAATATCACTGGCAGTAAATAAAATCTTTACTATGAAATCAGCAAAACAAAATATCATAATATTTGATGATGGCAAGTATGAATGAGGCTATTATCTACTCTTTGTTAATGGAAGTTTATTCAATTTTTTCATGAAGCAATTTGGAAATATGTGCCAAGGGCCTCTAAATTGTTCATTTTTGAACTGATACTTTTAGTTGAATAACTCACTTCTAGGGGAAAAAATCCAAAACCTGGCCAAAATATTTATGCTAATACAGTATTTGCATAGTAAAACATTTGGAAACCAAATGAAATCTTCAACAGTAGAGGAACGGTTAAACAATTGTGCTCAATCCATGTTATGAAATATTGATCAAACAGAATTATTTTTACAAAACATTTCAAGGAGTTATAAAAGTTATCTGGAATACATGGTGAGAGATTATAAAAATATAGCTTCTACATTCATATAAAATTTCACTTATTCATATTTCAGTCATTATTGAACACCACAATATACGTAACTTTTGAGTACGTTTCACGTGTTGCCCAACTTACTTCTCTAAATAATACTATCATGTAAGTACAACCATGCATCACTTAACAATGGGGATATATGCATTTCTGAGAAATGCATCCTTAGGCGATTTCATTATTGTGTGAACATCCTAGAGTGTACTTACCTAGATGGTATAGGTTACTACACAGCTATGCTATACATTACAGCCTCCAGGCTACAAGTCTGTACAGCATGGTACTGTATTGAACACTGTTGGCAATCATAACACAGTGGTAAATACTTGTTTATCCAAACACATATAAACACAGAAAGGGTAATGTAATGTAAGATGCTATAACATTACAACAGCTATAGTGTCACTAGGCAATAAGAAACTTTCAGCTCCATCATCATCTTATGGAACAACCTCATATATGTAGTCTGTCCTTGACTAAAACGTTGGTACAAGGTACATGACTGTTTTATCAAAACCATTTAACTTAGTTTCAGAAAGACTGGCAATTTCGTTCCAGAAAGTTTCATCATAGTGGCCAATCTAATCATTGGCAAACCAGTGCAGTATTCACACTGAGAAAGTTTCAATATTAAGTTGTCCTTATCTGTCCTGGTTGGTGTGACAGTTAAGTGTCAACTTGATTGGATTGAGGGATGCAATGGAGAACCCTGAATAATGCCAATTTTGATACAGGAGTGGTTCTAGAGGAACAGAATATTAAGGATGGAGTTCTTTTTGTGCTTTTAGGGTTTCTGGAGTTCGCTGCTTAATATGATTAAACTAAAAAATGCTAAGGACTCTACTTCTAATAGCATGGAGAACACTGAGAGTCCTTGGCATGAGCTGTTTAGAGAGTTATGCAAAATAAATGCATTTGACTCTCCTGATTCACTGCTTATGAGAGGCAAGGAGTTTAGTGACTCTATACATAATAACTGACTGTATGTGGGGAACCAAGGAATATAATGAAGTTGGTTGTTTGCTCCTAAGTTCACTGGAAAAGGGATGAAAGAAAATGAACTCAGGGATTCTAACTCCCAGCTTCAGAAGCAGATACTGAGCCTCAAATCTGCTAAGGTTGCTGAGTGAGAGTCTTATCTCCTGTAGAGAAAGAGGTAAAATTGTGGAAAATCAAACACAAGTTCTTATCATGTGAGCGGCTGACCTGCAATGAAAAGTGCATGCACAGCCTCACCAGGTGTCTGCTGTTAAAGTGAGGACATTGATTGGAAAAAATGGGACCTTACAACTTGGAATGGGGATGTGTGGGAGGACCTTGATGAAGCTGGGGATACTGAGTTGTGAACTCTGATGAACCTTTTTTTGCCAGAAGAAACAGCTTTCCCACCCCCAGTAGTGGCAACATCCCCTCCCTGACCCACGCTGCCATCAGCCTTTCCACTTTTGTCCGAGGAGATAAACTCTGTGCTTACTAAGGCAAGAAGGATAGCCTCCCCTGAGGCAGGTGCCAGGCAGGATAATGTTGATTTTCTTCAGGAGCCACCTCTAACACTCCTGTTTGCTTCTAGACTTATAACTAGACTAAAGTCCTGGCAGGCCTCTAGAGGTGAAGTTCAGAGCGTGACCCACACTTGAAAAGAAGTGCTTGAGTTTTCTAATTTATAGAAGCAGAAATCTGGAAAACAGACATAGGAATGGATATTAAGGGTACGGGATAATGGTGGAAAGAACAGAGATGGATCAGGCTGAATTTATTGATTTGGGCCCACTAAGCAGGGATTCTGCATTTAATGTTGCAGCTTGGGGAGATAAAAGTGTTTCTAATCATTTATTTGCTTGTTAGCTGAAATATGGATTAAAAGATGGCCCACTGTGAGTGAGCTGGAAATACCTGATCTCCCTTGGTTTAATGTAGAGGATGGGTGCCAAAGGCTTAGGGAGAGTGAGACGGTGGAGTGGATTAGTCACTTTAGACCTACTCATCCCAGCTGGGAGGGTCCAGAAGATAGACCCTTGACCAATGCTTTGTGAAATAGATTTGTGAGCACAGTACCTGCATCTTTGAAAGAGCCCTGTAATTGTTCTTCTCTGTATGTCAGATCTAACAGTGGGAATGGCAGTCATTCAACTACAAAATTTAAATACAATGGGAATAATTGGATCCCGAAGTGGCAGGGGCCAAGTGACAGCACTAAACCGTCAAAGGCAAGGTGGGCATAGCTACCATAATGGACAGTGGAAGCAAAGCAGCAATCGGAATAGTCTCACTCCTGGAGAGCTCTGGCATTGGCTAATTAATCATAGAGGGCCTAGAAGTGAAATTGATAGGAAACCTACAACATTCCTACTTAATTTATATAAGCAGAAAACTTCCGGGTCGAGTGGACAAAACACTAATTTGAATCATAAAAACAGAGAACCACATCCCCTCAATCAATTTCCAGACTTAAGCCAGTTTACAGACCCAGAACCCCTTGAATGAAGGGGAGGCTAGGTCCCCTTGAGGAAGGACCCCAATACACTACCGACAATTTATGCTGTTAATCTTTCTCCCATCTTTCCCCAAGGAGACCTCCAGCCTTTTACCAGGGTAACTGCATTGGGTAAAGGGAAATTATCAGACATTTCAGAAACTACTGGACACTGACTCAGCTGACATTGATTCCAGGGCACCCCAAACATCATGGTGGTCCTCCAGTTAAACTAGAGGCTTATGGAGGTCGGGTAATTAATGGATTTTTAGCTCAGGTCCAACTTACAGTGGGTCCAGTGAGTCCCTGGACTCATCCTGTGGTCATTTCCCCAGTGCCAGAATGCATAATTTGCATAGACGTACTTAGCACCTGGCACAACCCCCACATTGGCTCCATGACTAGTAGGGTGAGGGCCATTATGGTGGGAAAGGCCAAATGGAAACTGTTAGAGCTGCTCTACCTCGAAAAATAGTAAATCAAAAACAATATCACATCCCTGGAAAGATTGTGGAGATTAGTGCCACCATCAAGGACTTGAAAGACGCAGGAGTGGTGATTCACATCACATCCCCATTCAACTCTCCTATTTGGCCTGTGCAGAAGACAGATGGATCTTGGTTAATTATAAGCTTAACCAAGTGGTGACTTCAATTGCAGTTGCTGTACCAGATGTGCTTTCATTGCTTAAGCAAATGAACACATCCCCTGGTACCTGGTATGCAGCCATTGATTTGGCAAATGCCCTTTTCTCCATTTCTGTCCATAAGGCCCACCAGAAGCAATTCACCTTCAGCTGGCAAGGCCAGCAATATACCTTTACTCTCCTACCTCAGGGGTATATTAACTCTCTTGCTTTGTGTCATAATCTTGTTCGAAGAGACCTTGATGGCTTTTTTGCTTCCACAAGATATCACACTGGTCCATTACATTGATGATATTATGCTGATTGGATCCAGTGAACAAGAAGTAGCAGACACACTGGACTTATTGGTGAGACACATTGGACTTACTGTGTGCAAGAGGATGGGAAATAAATCTGACTAAAATTCAAGGGCCCTTTACCTCAGTAAAATTTCTAGGGATCCAGTGGTGTGGGTCCTGTTGATATTTTCCTTCTAAGGTGAAGGATAAGTTGCAGCATTTGGCCCCGCCTACAAACAAGAAAGAGGCACAACTCCTAGTGGGCCTACTTGGATTTTGGAGGCAACACATTCCTGATGTGGGTGTGTTATTCGGACCCATTTATTAAGTGTCCTGAAAGGCTGCCGGTTTTGGGTGGTGTCCAGAACAGGAGAAGGGTCTGCAATGGGTCCAGGCTGCTGTGCAAGCTGCTCTGCCACTTGGGCCATATGGCCCAGCAGATCCAATGATGCTTGAGGTGTCAGTGGCAGATAGGGATGCTGTTTGGAGCCTTTGGGAGGCCCCCAAAGGTGAATCACAGAAGAGGCCTCTAGGATTTTGGAGCAAAGCTCTACCATTTTCTTCAGATAACTACTCTCCTTTTGAGAGACAGCCCTTGGCCTGTTACTGGGCTTTGGTGCAAATTGAACGTTTGACTATGGGTCATCAAGTCACCATGTGACCTAAACTGCCTTTCATGAACTGGATGCTTTATGACCCATCTAGTCATAAAGTGGGTCATGCACAGCAGCATTCCATCATCGAATGGAAGTGGTATATATGTGATTGAGCTCGAGCAGGTGCTGAAGGCACAACTAAGTTTCAGAGGAAGTGGCTCAAATGCCCATGGTATCTACTCCTGGCACCCTTCCTTCTCTCCCCTGCCTGCACCAGTGGCCTCATGGGTAATTCTCTATGATCAGTTGACAGAGGATGAGAAGACTAGGGCCTGGTTCACAGATGGTTCTGCATGATATGCAGGCACCACCCAAAAGTGGACAGCTGCAGCACTACAGCCCCTTTCTAGGACATCCCTGAAGGACAGTGGTGAAGGGAAATCTTCCCAGTGGGCAGAACTCTGAGCAGTGCACATGGTTGTGCACTTTGCATGGAAGAAGAAATGACCAGATGTGAGATTATTTGCTGATTCATGGGCTGTAGCCAATGATTTGGCTGGATGGTCAGGGACTTGGAGGAAGCATGATTGGAAACTTGGTAACAAAGAAATTTGGGGAAGAGGTATGTGGATGGACCTCTCTGAGTGGTCAAAAACTGTGAAGATATTTGTATCCCATGTGAGTGCTCACCAAAGGGTGAACTCAGCAGATGAGGATTTTAATAATTAAGTGGATAGGATTACTCATTTTGTGGACACCACTCCGCCTGTTTCCCCAGCCACCTCTGTCATCGCCCAATGGGCCCATGAACAAAGTGGCCACGGTGGCAGGGATGGAGATTACACATGGGCTCAGCAACATGGACTTCCACTCACCAAAGCTGACCTGGCTACAGCCACTGCTGAGCGCCCAATTTGCCAACAGCAGAGACCAGCACTGAACCTTCAATATGGCACCATTCCTAGGGGAGATCAGCCAGCTACTCATTGGCAGGTTGCTTATATTTCCATCATTGAAAGCACAGAGATTTGTCCTCACTGGAATAGACACTCTAGATATGAGTTTGCCTATCCTACACACAATGCTTCTGCCAAGACTACCATCCGTGGACTCACAGAATGCCTTTTCCACCGTCATGGTATTCCACACACACCATTGCTTCTGACCAAGGCACTTACTTTATAGCTAAAGAAGTGCGGCAGTGGGCTCATGCTCATGGATTTCACTGGCCTTACCATGTTCCACATTATCTTGAAGCAGCTGGATTGATAGAATGGTGGTATGGCCTTTTGAAGTCACAATTACAACGCCAACTAGGTGACAATAATTTTCAGGGCTGGGGCAAAGTTCTCCGGAAGGCCATGTATGCTCTGAATCAGTGTCCAATATATGGTACTGTTTCTCCCATAGCCAGGATTCACAAGTCCAGGAATCAGGGGGTGGAAGTGGAAGTGGCACCACCCACCATCACCCCTAGTGATTCACTAGCAAAATTTTTGCTTCCTGTTCCCATGACATTACATTCTGCTGGCCTACAGGTCTTAATTCCAGAGGGAGGAGCATTCCCACCAGGAGACACAACAATTCCATTAAACTGGAAGTTGAGATTGCCACGTGGACACTTTGGGCTCTTCCTACCTTTAAGTCAACAGGCTAAGAAGGGAGTTACAATGTTGGCTGGGGTGACTTACCCAGCCTATCAAGATGAAATCTGTCTACTACTCCATAATGGAAGTAAGAAAGAGCATGCCTGGAATACAGGAGATCCCTTTGGGGCTTGTCTTAGTATCACCATGCCCTGTGATTAAGGTCAATAGGAAACTACAACATCCCAATCCAGGCAGGACTACAAATGGTCCAGACAGACCCTTCAGGAATGAAGGTTTGGGTCACTCCACCAGGAAAAAAAAAACACGACCTGCTGAGGTGCTTGCTGAAGGCAAAGGGAAACAGAATGGGTCGTAGAAGAAGGTAATCATCAATACCAGTCACAACCAAGTGACCAGTTGCAGAAAGGAGAACTGTAATTGTCATGAGTATTTCCTCCTTCTTTTGTTAAAAACATATTTGTTCATGCATACACTTGTACTAAGAAAATATCTTCATTTTATTTCCTTTTTCCATTATCATGTGATTTAAGATTTACTGACTTCACATTAGCATTTAAGTGTTTTTAACTTTATGTAATAGCATTTGGATTGGGGATTGGTGCCTTTCCAGTTGTATGAAGGATAGTTGTAATATGTTAGGCATAATTATGACCTTATAATTCTCTTTATTTGAAGATTATGTATGATCTCAGGAGGTGTGTATGGGTTCGAGTTGACAAGGGGTGGACTTGTGATGGTTAATACTGAGTGTTAACTTGATTGGATTGAAGGATGCAAAGTATTGATCCTCGGTGTGTCTGTGAGAGTGTTGCAAAGGAGATTAACATTTGAGTCAGTGGGATGGGAAAGGCAGACCCACCCTTAATTTGGGTGGGCACAATCTAATCAGCCACCACTGCGACTGGGATAAAAGCAGGCAGAAGAACATGAAGAGATCAGACTAGCTTAGCTTTCCAGCCTACATCTTTCTCCTATGCTGGATGCTTCCTGCCCTCGAACATGGACTCCAAGTTCTTCAGCTTTGGGACTCAGACTGGCTTCCTTGCTACTCAGCTTGCAGACGTCCTATTGTGGAACCTCGTGAATGTGTGAGTTAATACTCCTTAATAATCTCCCCTTTTTATATATATGTAGCCTATTAGTTATGTCCTTCTAGAGAGCCCTGACTAACACAGTTGGCATGAGGGCCTGCAGTATAAATTCATAGATTAGGCTCATTATTCCTTTTTTGTCCCATATTGCAGTGCCCTGATCAAGTACCCTATTATGAGTCATAAAAGCAATATCCCTCTCTACCCAAAGGTATGACAAGATAAGGCATCTTAGGCAAGCATAGTGGTGGTGAAATAGCTATAAGTAAGTTTTTTTTTGCATATACGTTGTAGTTATATTAGTTACAACAAAGTTCTTAGACATTCTAATAACTCTACTATTTAACATAAGCCCCAGAGATTCCTCATGATGTTTCCTACTCCTTGTGAAGGATAGAAGAATCATTTTCTCACAAATAAA